>NC_000005.10:117382534-117685564 GCF_000001405.40 Homo sapiens | reverse complement strand
TGGTGTTTTGCAGATTATGAAAGTGGGTATCAAAAAGGTTATGGACCTCATTCAAAGTTCCTCACAAAACTCATATGTCCCAGAGATGGTTCTCAAACACGTTTTTCGATCTTATATTTCATGTTCTCTCCTTCCATTGTGGACACTGAGGAATGTAGAATACATTAAGAGATAATACATTACATTATATTTCTAATATATTCAACACGACATAATAGATTATAACTGAGATTCAGAAAAATAGCTATAAAATACAGAGGACAAAAACCTTTCTAATAACTTAGAAAGGCTTTATGGAAAATGAACTTTTATTTGGATTTGAAGGATTGTATGTGATTTTCATTGTTAGGTATGATGGAGCCTTTTAGATAGAAAGTAATTTTCTTGTTCTAGAGCTTTCAGTACATCAAAGGGTTTCTTCAGAAATAAATGTGATTGGTACAGATTGGGAAAAGCTGTTAACTCTTAGTATCATTGCTTCCCTTCTAGGTGTCACAGCTAGTCATTGACCAAAAACAGACCTGCTGATATTTAGAGATGTATCGGAGCAGCATTTCTCTAGACTTGGCAAAATTCAGAAGTTGTTCAGCCTTTTGCCGGTAACACCAAGCCACAGGCCTCATCCCACAGGGTCCTCACTTGTCTTCCCAGCCCCATTTCTACAAGCATATGACTGATCGGATTCCATAATACATCATTGGGAAATACATTCATTTTATACATGTATACCTATAGAATAATACTAAGGTGTCTAGGAAAGGAAGTTGTCCAAGAGAGTAATGATTTGAATAAGCAAATTATGGTTCTTTGCATAATTTAGTAATAACTCACCACATATCCACAGTCCTTCAGCTTATACGTGGAAAATATTTGCTATTATCTTTGATTCTTCTTCCAGTCTTCCTTTCATATAACCCAATGGCTTTTTGCTTTAGAATTAGTCTTCCTTGTTTTTCTTGTACTTTACTTTTTAGGAAGTATTTGGAAACCATTGAAAGTTATATAATTGGGGATGGCTTGACCAGAGTTCTGCTTTAATAATACTTTTCTTACCATTCTACACAATGGTGATGGTAATAGTAATGCTTGTCTGATGAACAGAGGTGTAAGTTCAAGGAAGGAATTGCAGTAGGACAAATCCTCTTATAGATATTGTTTACGAGAGAGACACAGTTCTTAGCTAGATGATTGGTAGCAATAATAGAAAGGAAAGGGATACATGTGAAAGACAGTAAAGAAGCGCAATTTACTTCCTTACATTATTACAAGATTAGCACTAAATTTATAATGCAGACCTACTATAGGAAGGACTCTACAGTTTTGAGTCTGTCCGACTGGAGCAGTAGCTTCTGCCAATTGAGAGTATGATGAGACATAGTATAGAATACATAAAGAAGAAAGTAGATGATTAGTTATAGGCATGTCAAATTGGAGGTGCTGACAGGACATTTATGAGGAGAATGGCTGTAGTCCCTTGCAAATAGGGTGAGTGAAAAACATGTTTCTTGATTTAGGATTCTTAAGCAGAAGGCATGAATGAAAGATAACTCTAGAAGGGAAAAGAAAGGACAGCCAAAGGCAGAATCCTGTGGGAAATTTACATTAAATTTAAAGGAGAGGAACATTAAGCATCCAAGTTAGAGTCAGAGAGATGGCAGAAAGAGGGAAATTCATTGGCCTGGAATCCAATGAAAAGGGGAATGAACAACTAGATAAATTCTGCAGAGAACAAGGAAGGTATGCACAGGGTTTGTGACTAGGGCTTCACTGCCAACTTCTAAAAAGAAGAGTAACATAAGAACAATGTGGCTTGAAGCAACCCTACCCAGTGTGGAACACAAAATGGGATCTAAAGAACCAGTAGAGGACCCACATGTTGTTCTTTCATTTTGAGATCTTGAAATGGTCTGACATGTGTCTCTTCCTGGCTGTATTCCTTCCACATTATTTCAATAAGTTAATAATTGCATTTAATGCCAATCTAACCCTTAACAATTAATTTGCATAGAACAGGTATTTAGTGTAGAAAACATTGCACTTGATCGCTCATCTGGGATTTGAATTGAAGAATAGCCTCAACCAAAAGGAGGCTAAGAGTAACCATGTAGGACTCTAACTACTTAGAAGCAGAAGGTGATCCAGTTACATGAAAGCCCATCCACATGTTGGTATGCTTATTTTCCAGTCGTCCACTTCACAACTTACATTTCTGCATATAATTAATGTTAGCCAGAGGAAGCCGGGTGGTCACAAAATAGACTCTGTCATCACGTCCCAAAACTCTGTGAACAATATGCTTATTATCAAGCATTCAAACTCTATTAAAAGAAAGACCTTGAATGCACCTTTTCATAAAGCCTCAGTGCTCACACATCCTAATCTTCCCATAGAAGTTACTCTTTTTTTTGTTTTTGCTGCAGATGATCTGTCAAGATAGCAACAGTTTCTACAGTTTTCCTTTTGATCTCCTCTACAGAGCTAGAATCCTGAATTAATTTTACCAGGAACAACTATTTAAACATTGCAGTGTTGAATCATAAGCATTGCCCTTTCATTTCCGACTTCCCATATGGGAAGCATATATCTTTTCTTGCAATTTGTTAAAAGTTTTGATCAAGTGCATACCACATTACATGTTTGCAGCCACACAATGAATACATTTTGGCTATTCAAAAATCAGCCAAGATTTAAAGTATAATTCTATTGCTGAAGTTATTTGAGACAAAGCCGAGACAAAGCCCCAAATCCTCATATACGGCAAAATATAACTTACTAAGTTTCATTTATACATCTAAATAGGAGCAAGAACAGGGTACTAGGTGGCAAATGGGGTGCATGCTTTTAGAGTTCACAATTTCTTCTGGGGAATCTATGATATGTGATCAATTACAAGCTTCTGCTTCTGTCTATGAATGTTGGCACAGCTGTAAAGGCTTATTCACAGGCCTGGAATGTCCCACAATCAAGAGAATTTTGCTTGTCGGCTTTATTAAAAAGTTCACCTTCCCTTTGTGAATTATGAGAGCACATAAACTTTGTCTTGAGGTTAGAAAGAATATCTGAGTCTACTCTGTTTAAATTACTTCTCAAGCATTTAAAGGAAAACCTTAAAAATACCTTGTGGTTGTATGTTCCTATAGGGCACAGTGATGACTTCTTTATAGCAATGTTTATATTTGAAAGCCATTCATTCATCTGATGTATATTGAATAATAACCATGTGCCAGGAACTCTTCTAGATATTAGGGATATAGAGAACAAATTCTTCAAGATCTTGTATAACTCTTTGTCTTTTTGTTTATAAAGGCAACCTGTCTCTATTAAACTCATTTCATCTTTCCATCAACATCAACTTCTCAATTGCTTTATTTTCCAATTTTGAGCGCTTTTTCCTTCATGGAAATGTCTCCCACGTGTAGATGCCTGGAACTTAACGTCAAAGGGCAAGTGTGTTTTCTGTTTTGGCCATATGCCATTCATCACATGGGCACATCCATATTTCATCTTGGACATCCACAGTATATGATATGATCATGGCTTACTGTAACCTTTGGCTCACTTCCAGCATTGCTGCTTTTTATTTTTCAGTGCAAAATCTCTGTGGTTTGGCTTATTATGTCCCAGATGTATTCATTTGGACTCATTCTCTGAGAAAGCCTGGGGTCTCAGGGTGGTAGCATCTGAGGCAAATGTTCAGAGTTTCCTGTAATGAGTCTTTATTCTAACTTCATGATGCTGTTGCTTACCCCTCATGGAGAGCAGTGTCTGCTAGACCATTATTTCCCCGCTGAAGGCACTCCCTGGGATTCTATCTGGGAGGCATCACATTCCAGCTTTCTATGTGGCATCCGAATGAACCGATTTGAATTTCATGGTTGGGGAAATTTATTCATGAAACCTGGACTACTGCCTTGATGTTGCCCATTGATCTCTAGGTCTTTACTGACATGCTAAATAGGTACAGTAACCCAGAAACTATTGCTAATTATACTCTTTTGGGAGGAGTCAATTGAGAGGAAGAGAAGTGAAACTACACATGCTCATTTAAAATAGCAGAGACAGCAGAACTTCTTACTTGATGCTTTTAGGGTGTCACATTATTCACAGGACAATGGTTTGTATGGATCAAAATAAATTTAATAATTCCATAGTGTAGAGACACAGTAGAATACAGATAATAGGCTAGTAAGTGCTAACATGCCCTACAGTACAATTTTTCTCTGAGGTCTCAAGTGATTTACTTTATTTGTTCCTATCCTTTTTTATCTCAAATAAGCAAAATAAAATAAATGAGGATACAAAGTTGCCAGGGACAGGATGGAGGAATGGGAGTTACACTGTTTCATAAAGGCAGGTGGACTGTCCTACCATTCCAGCTTCCTGAAGCAGGGAAAACATGGGAGATTTTTAATTTTATGTACTATATTGAGGTAGTTATCAAATTTAACACCATGCAGTCCTTCATCAGATCTGGAACTTTATTTCTCAAACCCGAATTCTTAAAAATTAAAAGTTAGGTATGATGTCAAGTCCAAGTTACTGAGTTAAGCCGACCCTGAGCTTAATAGAATGAAAAGACATTAAATAGAAGAATAAGAATGAAAGAAAGAAAGAAAGAAGAAAAGAAGAAAGAGAAATAAATAAATAAATAAATAAATAAATAAATAAATAAATAAATCATGGCTCCTACTCCAAAGATAACTTGAAATGTTATGACAAGTCTCATGTCAATTTAACTATGCTCTCAATAAACTATTCAGTAGGCAGGCAGCAACCACAGTCTGCCAGTTGTTCTTTTAGAGGTGAAAAATCCTTATTCCCTGACTATAAAATAAAATATATAAATGTGTGTGTGTATGGGTGGACAGTTTTATGCAGGAATCATATTAAATTAGACTGATATACAATGCAAAAATAAACACAGTCTCAACTGCAACATGCCACAAATGCCTGACAGCATGCCAAGAGGAAAAATAGCCCTTCCTTCCCAGCCATCCAGATTCCTTTGTAAAACAAATGGAGAGACAAATATATGTCTCTCTCAAAAGAGGAAAGGAGATGGGTATGGCAAGAGGAGCAATGGCAAGGCAGAGATGGCAAAGGGAACACCGCATGTGTCAAAATCCCAAAAGAGGAGATCCATTCATAAGACTTAAGGCAGGAAATTGGGTTAAATGGTCATATTTTAAAAAGAAAAGAAAGCAGGCCAGGTGCGGTGGCTCACACCTGTAATTCTAGCACTTTGGGAGGCCGAGGTGGGCGGATCACGAGGTTAGGAGTTCGAGACCAGCCTGACCAACATGGTGAAACCCTGTCTGTACTAAAAATACAAAAATTAGCTGGGTGTGGTGGTGCATGCCTGTAATCCCAGCTACTCAGGAGGCTGAGGTAGGAGAATCACTTGAACCCAGGAGGCAGAGGTTGCAGTAAGCAGAGATTGCACTACTGCACTCCAGCCTGGCGACAGAGCAAGACTAAAAAAGAAAGAAAGAAACAAAAGAAGGAAGGCAGGCAGGCAGGCAGGCAGGCAGACAAGCAAAACAACTTTACAATTTTTCTTTCTGTTATTTCGAATCCTTAGAAAAGACTGAATTGACAAAGATTAAGGACAGAGTACATAGTGGCAACATTTGCATGACACCATGATTGTGTCCTCATTGGGTACAACATACCTCCAAGGACTGATGTGTGAAATCATTGCTCCTGGGCTGATTTTTCTCCCACAGTTCACACACTTGCTTTCAGATGGGTGCTTCACTCCCTATCTCAGAACACAAAAGATGTTCAATACATGTTGGCTTATTAGTTCTGTCTTCTTCACTTTCCAAATTACCTGTCCCAGTTGGCTTTCTTCCCTTTTGCCTTTCCTTAATTTACTGTGTCTTAAAAACATCTTCACTTGGGCCATTTGAGAAATTTACCTATATTTAAAATTAGATCAAAGATAATTTGTGTAAAGAATACAATCCCTTCAAGTCTTTTTTCCCTCTGCCATTCTGTTCCTCTCATGCTTAAGACCCTTTTTAAGTCTTATGAGATTCTACTCTAATATAGTTTTCTAGACCCTCCCTGCTCAGTATATTAGGAGGAACTAGAATTAATGTGGCCATGATAATAGTTTCTATTTCTTTTTTGTATGGCTTTTGCTACTATTATCTCTTGCTGACCTTTGGTGTTGGTGTTTTCTTGTTTTAAGGCCCTTGCTATTTTCAGAAAATCCTGAGTATTTGCTTATACATTGGCTTCGAGTTTCCTTTACCACAGTCTTTGTTAGCTGATACCTAATGGACAGTGTGTGGGGACGGGGAGTGGTGGTGGTACGGGAGGATTGTTTCCTGCAATGTGGACCACAGAATGCAGGGAATGCTTGTGTGCTGCCTCATCTGATTCTCAGTCTTCACCATGGGTGCTCTATACTATGATGTGATCGATGTTCCTTTTTTGGTTTGTTAGACTGATTGACATTTTTTAGGTTAAATATATGTTCCACAATGGAAAAATCATGCATGCCATGACATTTTGTATCTTTAGCTCCATTAGACATCTCTTTTATACCTACCCAATCATCCCTCACCCTAAGCTGATCTACTTTTGCAAGCATTGAGGATAGGCATGGTGATATTGGAGGGGTGTAGGAGGAATGTTTTTGCTTCATTATTTTATTCCCAATGGCATATAGACTCAGATCTTCTACTAAAGTCCCAGTCCTACAAAACGACAGTTTGAGCACTAATGCTAAGAAGCCATATGGATATGATTTGAATTTGTTCAGACTCTCAGAATACTAGTCTGTACAGCAAATAAACACATGACAAGATTCTTGAATTAATTAGTTATTAGATAAATTCAAATTAAATTACAATGTGATATTTATATATTCCCAGCAGAATGCCTGAAATGAAAAAGACAGTCAACACCAAGTGTTGGCAAGGTTTTGAAAGAGATGGAATTCTCATACACTATTGATGGGAGTGTAAATTGGAAAACATCACTTAGGAAAACTATTTGGCAGCATCTGCCAAGTCGAATATATGCCTACCATTTGACCTAACAATAGCAGTTCTAGGTGCATGCCCAATAGAAAGACATGTTTAATCATGTTATGACATCCTTATTTATGAAAACCTCAAAGGAGAAACAAACCAAATACTCTTTGTTTTATTCATATGACAAAATACTGCACATCATTAGAACAAACAAATTATTGCTTCAAGCAATAACATGGTTGAATTCAAAAATGAGATCAATAAGAAACCAGCCAAAAGGGTATATACATTGTGCTTTAAGAAACAGAAAAATATTAATCTATGTCTTAGAACCAGAATAGTAGTTATTTTTGGAAGGACGGTGTCTGGGAAAGGATATGAGTGGGTTTCAGGGTTGCTGGTAATGTTCTGCATCTTGATCTGAGTACTTTTTATATGGCTGTGTTCACTTTGCATACAATTGTACAGAAAAAGCTAAATAATTATGATTTATATGCTTTGTTGTTGGTATAACAATTTAGCACAAATTTGCCTGAAACAAAAATTTACCTGAAAATTTCAGTAAAAGTTTACCTGAAAGGAAAAAGAAGAGAACATTATTCAGATGTTTACTAATCATGTCCACTAACTGTACATAAAAGAAACTGTTAATGATTTTTTTAGAAAACAGCCTGAATAATGATACCAAGTCCATACACTTTTTATTTACATAGGAAACTAGTAAGTAATGCCAATAATCTTTAGATATTTTAAAAATCATGTTTAAAACAATAGGCATGCAGATGTCAAGGCTAATTATATTTTACTCTTTTCAGTGTTTTGGACTAAATTGATCTTTATTTAAGTATTTAAACTTGTATGTTTTTCCTATTCTTCAGGGAGCAAATTGAAGTAAAAAGATACTTCTTAACTCGCACTCTTAGAAAGATAGTAGGAACAGGAAAACAGATTAGCCTCATAGTCTCACTGGTTCAGCATACATTTTCAGAAGTCTAAGGAAGTTACTGTCAAAGGGGACACTAAACCCAAGTTCAACATTTTTGTCTGCCAAAGCTGATGCTGTCATCTAAGCAGCTAGTTTTTTATTTCTTAATACATACATATGATGAGTAATATAGAATACCTCTATATTCAAACTACATCATTACTGTTTATTTACCAAGATAAAAAAACAACACTTAGTGGTATATAAATCAGCCAAACTAAATCTTGTAGTTTAATCTGATTTAGTTGCAATCACATAGACATGACAAAAATGAACTCTGCTAATAAAAAGCAAAAATGACAGTAATTTTAAAAGGGTTGTAAAGCAATTATACAACACGTAGGAAGAGTCTCAGTCTAACTAAATAATATTTTTTAGAAATGAAGACAAATTTGCTATTTCTATTAATGAATAGCTGATTGATTGCAAAGATACACTCCTATTATTAAAGAGACCTGATAATTCCCTTAGACTAATATACAACAACTGTACTTTAATTCTCTTGATGAGCATATCATTCATGTTTTCCAGAGCCAACACATACGAAATGAAAGAATATTTAGAAGGTTAAATGAAGGTCCAAATTTAAGTAGTAGAGGGATGGTTTATGTTTCTCTCCTCCTGGATCAAATGATAAAGAAGATGTTAGGGTTTTTAATCTATCAGGAGTTGTGCTGTCAATTTTCAAGTAATCCGTTAGTCAATTTTTATTCTGTTTTAACAGCTACATTTTAGTCAATTTAAAAAATGTGAGTCCACTCTAATTCCCTGGAACCAGATAATCAAATCATTCAAACAAATCTAAGACCAAGAATTCATGGAACCAAACTCCACGTTTTGCCCAACTTAAAAAGAAGGGCAATGGCTCTAAATTTATAGTCTTCTAAGTAATTTGGGCTTAATAGGTTGACTCTGTAAGATTTAATTACCCTGTCTGTCTCCTTGAACAAATCACTCTACCACTAATGAAGACTGAGTTTTGCATGTTGCATACAAAAGTGTGTGGAGATGCTGAAGTAATATGTAAGATCATAGCAAGTAACAAGTTATTTCCATATGGCAAGATCTGTGAGGGCCCAAATAAGCATTCCATTAAGATAATTGCAGAAGATATGAGAAAAACACATGTGCAAATGAGACTACCAAATGCAGAGCTTAAAGAATGGCAGATTATTTAGCCATGGAAAGTAAAATACAATAAAAGAAATAGTTAAGTGACAACTCTTAATGATTGTTATGTATGTCAGTGATCTCATTGAGCTATATCTGTATATTTGTCATTTTAGTGAAGTGGCAAATTATATTTATTGAAAATTATTTTAGGGAAGCCTCATTATTTACTCATTTACCCTCTGAAGAAAAACAATATCGCAAAGTATTTGTGCTTTACTAAACTAAATTCCTTGAGAGGAAAAACATCAAATGAGACTTAATACAACTCTCAAGGAGTTTAAAAAGCATTAGTGGAGAAAGGCATCAAATGTTGCTTTTGGTCGTAGATTTTTGTATTTATTTGTTTGTTTTGTTGTTAATAAGATGGAAAAATAGTACTTTAAAAATCTATAGGACTGCAGAGAAAGCAGGGATCTGAAGTGAATGGAGTAATCAGACAAGTTTTCACAGAGAAGAAGATAGGAAACAGAGGTTACCGATTCAAAAGTCTACAGGGATAACAAAGGTTAAAGAGGAGAGGAGAGTGGCATAAATGAACAACTGGGTAAACCATCTGTAATATAAAGGGGAGTGGTAGGGACCAAGGAAAACTGGAGAGTGTATATCCTTTTAAAGAGGACAACGTTTCCTTAGCTCTAGCTAATTATTACCTTCTAGGATAAGGACCCTTACGTGACAAAGACTTCTGATTTCTCAAGCGAAGCTACAAAGCCAAAGTTCTATGTGCAATCTTCAACCTTTCAAATTTTTTAAAGTGTATTTATATATGTATATATTATTTATATATCTATGTTTTTATATTTTATAAAATTAGATATAATATATAATATATAAACTGATTATATTTCATAAATTCATATATGCCTACATATATATTATATACACACACAGTTTAACAAAATATATTTGATGCCCACTTTTGACCTGCAAACCACCAAACCACCTATTTGCAATATCTGTATTATATCTGGGTCTTTGGAAGATGTTTATTAGCATAAGAAAATATAAAAGAGAGGCTTTCTAGAAGAGAAAGTGATATGGCAAAGAGCAAAGCAAGGCCAGTAACACTGAGAGGATGGTGTGTCCGTGTGTGTGTGTGTGTGTGTGTGTGTGTGTGTGTGTATGTGTGTCTATGTTTATAATAGGGCCAGAATTAGAGATTGGTGGCAGGTCACATGGTTATTGGCTATCATTATACTGAATATTGGACTTTTCTGAACGCCCTGGAATCCACTCAAAGATTCTGAGCCAAGGAGTAACTCCTTGTAATTCACCTACAGGATATACTAGACAAGAGGCTCAATACACAAAGACCCCTCGGATTTCTACTGTATTAGTTAGCCTAGCCATAAGTGACTAGGGCCTGATCTAGAGTACTAGCTATGACAGTAGAGAGGAAGATTTATGTGTGATATACTTTAATTAAATGGACTTAAAAATTGAATAGATGAAAAGGAAGGTTTAGAAAGAGATTCCAAGATTTATTATAAGATTTCATGTCTTTCTGCCCATGAAGATGCACAGTCAATAACATCAAGACAAAAGTCAAGACTATAAACTGATATGAATGGATATTTATGAAGTAATTCTGAATATATTAAAGTTGTATTGGCAAACCCACCAAACCTAAGTTTGAAGACATTTTGAAATCAGTTTTAAATAATTTCACTTCATAAAGAGGTGAAAATAATGTGAACATATGATATGTCTTATTTCTTATTGAATTTAAAGACATGAATACAATTTAAACTTTTAAATTAAATCTTAAAATTCTGATTACCTTCTAAAATTTTGATTACCTTCTAAGAGCCAGGCACTGAACTTTTATGCAAACAAACCATATTTCTATTTTGGTTTTCAGAAGTTCTCCATTACTATAGAGAGATAAGCCTATTAAAATCTGTGTAATAAAAAAGTTAACATCAGTTTTGAATTTTATATCTGTAAGGTGCAAAAAGACGAGGAAGAAAAAATCTTAAATCACTTTTTCTATTAATGCTTTTTTCACAGCATTTTTGATATATATATTCTCATAAAATACTTTTGGGATATTCTTTGGCAAAATGGATTCTCTTGGATTGCTTTTGGGAACTTCGGACTTTCTGTGATTACTTGGGAGGAAACAGCCGTACTTCCTCAGAGTGGACACTACTATCATCGAATGTCCTAAAATGTTACACGAATTGTTGAGCCATTGAGTTAGTTGTGAAGCATCTAGCCTAGGTATTTTGGATTCATTTTGCAAAATAATCTGAACTTGTGATAAACAAAACATCTACAATGAGATTACCTGAACAAAAACTGGTTAATTTGACCATATATTAGCTCTTTTCTCAAATTCAACAGAATTTGAATTTGTATTGTATGTAATAAATATATGGTCAATATAACAAACAAAAGTAATTGTGTTACTTTTAATGGCAAAAACAGCAATTACTTTTGCACCAACCTAATATAAATTCTGCCAGTTTCAAAAGCTGAGATTTGCCAATTAATTTGGTATCAGAGCCCTAGAAGAAATATGTATTATTTTCTTACATTGTGGTGAGCCCTCAGTTTCACCACTCAATCTGGAAACACTAGTGTTTTCACTTTAGAAAATTTCTGAGATTAGTTATTTGTTGCTTTCCTTTTTTTGTTCTTCTACTTTCTAGATTTCTTTGAACTTCCAGAATGTCATGTGAATTTTTTTTCAGGTATTGTATATCTAATTTTAAAATGCTTTATCTGAATACTTCTTTTGTATAACCCTTTTTCATTTAATTGATGCCATCTATTTATCCAAGGACATTGCATATATATGTGTATGTATATTCATTTTTTCCTTCTGCTACCTTCATTGATTCTTTTAGCTCCAATCTCTGCATTTTTCTTTCTAATCTTTGTATTTCGTGTTATAGACTTTGTTTAAATGTTTGGTAATCCTTGGATGTTATTTTATATTTAAAGGGAAGCTAAGCACTCACTGCAAAGATGTTTGTCAATTCTATTTGCATAGATGGGCTTTGTCTAGTGGTAGATTTATTGCAGGATTTACATACATGCTGAGCCATTTCATTTGGAAACTCTGGTTTTCAGTTTCTATAGATGGTTTACTTGTCCCAGTCAGTTTCCTTGTAAGGAGTTTCTAGCCTAGGGTTCAGCAAAGTTTCTCTGTAAAAGCCGGTAGCAAATATTTTAGGCCTTATTGGCTAACTCTGCCATTGTAGCACAAAAGTAGCCACAGACAATACATAAACAAAAGATATGGCTATATACCAATAAAACTTTATAAAAACAAGCAGTAGGCCATTGTTTCAAACCCGTAGTCTAATCTCTTGCCATAAGCTGTAAACTTGACTGCCATCATGCACAGAATCTAGTAGAAGATGGAGGCTTGAGACCTCACCATTTAATGTGTTGTCTTTCACTAAATCCCTTTGTTTCCAGTATTATGACCCTTCCCCTTCCTCCACTAGAACCTATGTTCTTGAGCTTAATGTACCTCACAGTCTTTGGCTGTGAAGGGAAAAGGGGGAATAAGCAATTCTATAGTGTGTGAGGTGTGATTTGAGAGACATGCCAACAGTACATCTGTTTTCAGCATTACCTACTCTCTATCAGATGTGCCTAGTACCATCAATTCCTGAGGTTTTCCAGGCTGCTATACCATAAATGTGCCTACATCTGGATGGTAGTAACCACTTATAGGTCAGCAACCATTCATCCTAGTGTTTTCTGGTTTTTAAAATTGCGTTGCTGTATTTCCCTCCTCTGTTTTCTTTATTCTTTCTGGTTTTTACCTATAAAAAATTCTTTAACTGATATTTTAGTGCTGTTTCAAGTAGGATTTCTAGTGAAAATGAATGATCAGTTTTCTGTGTTTAACTGGAAGTCCTTAGAAAATGTATGTATATTTCTGCAATCCAAGCTACTTTGGAGGCTGAGGCAGGAGAATCGCTTGAACCCAGCATGCAGAGGTTACCGTGAGCCGAGATCTCTCCACTGCACTCCTGCCTGGGTGACAGAGCGTAACTCCATCTCACACACACACACACACACACACACACACACACACACACACACACATATATATATATATATATATGTATATGTATTTTGATATTCTGGCCTTAATTTAATGCCATCTAATTGCAAGTGTAGTACCCTTATAGTCTAGAGCATACTAGTATTTGTAGATATAATTAATAATATCTTGAAGCAAACAAAAGACCTCTGATTTCTGATTGCTACCTGTGAAATATTCCATGGTTAACTACTATAGTTTTAACACATTATAACTTTTACAGCTTCCATCTGAAAACATAATCCAAGATGGGATAAATACAGTTTTATGTATTCACCACAGTTAGGGATTTTCTAACATCCCTTCTGCACCAGGCCACTAAAATTCCCTACTCACTAATACTTTCATAAATGGGGACAGTGATTTTATGTCTCTTTCACAGGATATTCCCCCAAATCAGGACATTTGGAAGATTCACACGTGTTTAACATTCAAATAAAACTGATGAGCATCCATCCCACTGTGGGAAATCTTGAGTCCTCCTAATGCAGCTGATGCTTCTCAAGGAGCTTACATTTCTCTTTCCATCTATCATCTCTGTCCTATTCCTCCTCTATGCTCTCTGTCTTGTGTCATGATTCCTTTTCTATGTGCATTCCTTTTTTGGTCTGTAATGGTGATAACTGATATCAGTGTTCTACTGTTGTGTAACAAACTATTACATATTTCCTGGCTTAAAACAACACCCACTTACTAGTGCAGAGTTCTTTAGGTCCAGGTGAACTTGAGTAGGTTCTATGCTCAGGGCTGAAATCAAGGTGTCATCTGGGCTCAGTTATTTTAAGTTCACTCAGGTTGTTGGGAGGATTCAGTTCCATGCGGTTGTAGGACTAAGGCCCCCGTTTCCTTGCTGGTTGTCAGGGCGCTCTCTCAACTCCTTAAGGCCCCCCGTGTGTCTTCTCATGTGACCCCATTCATCTTCAACAAAGCAACCATGCATCAAGTCCACATGTTTCATGACTTTTTTTTTTTCCTGCCATCAGCCAGAGAAAACGCTCTTCTTCTATGGACCCATGTGATTAGATTAAAGGTACCTGGTAGTCTCACAATTTAGGTCAACTGTGCCATATAATATAACATAATCCTGAGTGTGATATCTTGGTATATAAATAGATATAAATAGGGATGAGGCTGAGACATCTTTAAGGGGTCATTTTATAAATTCCTCCTGTCACACTTCTTTATTCTGTGTGCAGACATGCCATTAGTATGTGGAGTGTATAACTGATTTTTAGTCAAAGTCTGGGTTAGCAGAGAGGACTGTAACTCAACACATAGGGTAGCTTAAAATACAAGGTTAGATATCATTACCTTAAAAAACTTGGCTGTTTTCTCTCTTGAGGTAATTCATGATTAATGTGTCCTTCACCCAGGACTAGCTTCCAACGTTTTCTGAGATCTCCTCTCCTTTTTATTCCCCTTAATATTTCTTTATTGCCAAGTTTAAAGTACCTCAGTTATTAGGTCGTCTAGTTTCTGGATTCTTCAGAGTTTCCAGATTCAGAGATCTTCCAAGTCCCTGTTACTTCCACAGACAGAAGAACTTAGTGACACACTTTCCTTACAGACATTTCTCAGAGTCTTGGATAGTTAAAAAAAAAAAAAGCTTTTTATATCTAAATATGCCCATTAACAAAATGAGTTTTCTTCCTATAAAAAATTCTGCTTTTTCCTCACTCTACCATTTCAAACTGCTTGCATATTCTTACTCTTACAAACTCTTACACCAAAGGTTTTGAATTTTTATGATTGAACATTAAATGAGATAATACATGTAAACTCCATTGCACATTTCCAGAAACATAGCCAGAAACAAACGTTAGCAAATATTTTTATTGGTGATACATTAGGGCAGTGGATCATTTAGTACTCCTCAAATTATGTCCCTTAAAACTGCCTGCATGTAAAGATGTGAAATGCATTAAAACTAGACCAATAAATACTAAAAGCCAAAAACAACAACAAGAAAAAACATAAGTCTTTGGGTGAGATCTCTATCGGGATTAATAATGACCGGGTTGTTTTCCCATTGTGAGTGGTAACAACGAGGTGGTCAGCAGAGGGAACACAACCGAACTCAGATCTGCTGTGTATGCATCAGCCAAATTATCCTGTCTCACTAACCTAAGCTCTCTGCACACCCTCAGGCCAGAGACCTTGTCTCTTATGTTTTTAGTAACCCAAAGTACACAGTCAATGCTCGATAAGTAATAATAATTAATATTGAATCACTCGCTGGGCAGTGCGCCCAGTATTGATAATGTCAGTGAATATTATGTCTCCCAGGGAAGCATGCAGGATAAATTTTCTGGCTGAGCCCTAGTTAAATATAGAAAAAAAAAAAAGAAAGAAACCAAAGCCCATTATGCAGTACATCACAAAGCTTAGGAAAAAATTGTCACAAATAGAAGACTGTTCTGGTGAATTGTCCACTTGTCTTTTGATCCCTTCTCCCCTTTTTATTTGCTGTATATTTAATTAATGATATAAAACATCTATATTTTCATAACGCAAACCAAGAATTAATGCTCTAGGAAACAGTATACAAAAGATGTACAGTGATATGCACATTATCTAATTACATATAAGACAGAAGCACAAAGGGAGTTGATATAGGCCCAAGTTCTAAAGCCACATTCTGGAGCCCCTTGCTATTAAGGTGGTCCACAGAAGAAGGACTGAAGGGAGAATGGGTAAAGGGAACACTCAGATGAACTGGGGCAGCATCTACTTACTAGCTAGTATGGAATTAGTTCAACCACTTATCTGTAAAGACACATTTCCAAATGACAATTACATCAGCTCATCCCCCAACTTCTCCCCAGGAGTAACTAGTGTTGTGAAATTGGTATTCATCATTCTTTTAATTATGCACACATATAAAAAACTCTACCAATACACAGGAATATATGCATATTTTTACAATTCTTAAGCATCTTTGAAGAGGTTATCTTTCAATAACCTAGTAGAGGGCATTAACTATAGTAGATTTTATGGAATAAAGATAACTTGTCTGTATAATTACAAAAAAAGTTTCATGTTTTAGAACTTTACTAGGTATGCTAGTAACTAGGAAATGAAATTTTGAGAGGACATCACTGTCCTAAGTTCTTTGATAATGAAACAAATTATATCTCTATGTTTAACTATCATCTATTGTTTGATTAATCAATCAATCATGTATATATCCACCTATTTATACACACATGTATACACTCAGTTTCCCTTTGGCTTTGGGTTATTTCACTTTATTAACTTTTTATGAGTTTATTATAAAACTTTTAAGAGTTTTATAATATCTAGTCCTCCTAATAGTCTTACATTTATGTTGGCTATGTCTAGAGTAGGGGGCCAATTGTGAAGAGCAGCACTCAGTGGAAAGAATATAAGTACATTCATGAGATCATCTTAGGGAACTCAAAGCTGTCTTATAATCCTTGTTCGAACAAGCAATGGTCTTTGTTACATGAAAATATGTCAAATGTTTGTTTTATTTTTGTTAAAAATAGTTAATATGAAGTTTGAATGATGCCCAGAATCAGAAGGGGTCTTTCTTAATAAGCTGGTCCCAAGAATCCAAAGTCAGATATTTGCTGTGATAGCCGCTAAAATTATTTTGAATTTTTCTGTTGAGAACTTCATGACTCTCCAGTGCCCCTCTTTGTTAATATTCACATGATCCAGAATTATTTCCATGCCTGAAACACTGCATTCCTAGATGGCAGGCAAAATTCCATGGTAAATACATAGCTGTTCACTAATGGTAACTCCAATCACAAAACACATGTGAAATCTGGTGACTAAAATATCCTATATTTGAATAAATATTACTTTATATCTATGTTTAAATCTGGATTTCTCTCTTTCAATCTATCTAAAAATATAATCACAGGAGCCATGTCTCATTTTTGATCCAATATCAGCTTTGATGATTACTGATATTCTTTTGTATAAAATGGAAATAGGCTTTTAAATTATTGATATTACAGAAATTTCCAGATGCATAATTATTTTGACACTTCTCATAACTTCATTTTAATTCTTAATAAATCAATCTTCAGACCTTTATTTTGTGGTTAACATTCTGTGTTCTAACATGTAGAGCTAAAAATATGAATGTGAAGGATGTGTATTTGCAAATAGGTAATATATGAAAAATTTTCTGCAGTCATTCTACATGTAATAGGATGAAGAGAATGTTTACTCAACAAATTAACTATTAACATTTAGCCCAAGATACATATGAGTTACAGAAATTATTTAATATGCTGAATTCTTCTTTGTCAAGAACTCAGTTGTTTTTAATACTTTATATAGGCCACTTTAAGTATTTCCTTTTTAAATTTTCTCCCTACTATACAGTCTATATATCCAATAGTATTTTGTAGGGTAAGAAAGTGAGCTACTTTTACACTTGAAATTGCAACAACCAGACACCCTTGCCCAACCCCATTCCCAGCCCCTCTAAAAAAAACCAAACTGTTTTCTAAAAAATTGGGTCTGGTAAAAAAAATTCAGAGAAAGGTAACTTATTGCTTACATACTGTATCCTGCCAAATGCTGGGTATACATTTAGGGAGTCTGTGATAGATAAATCCTTAAATGTTTAACAGCTCAGTTAGAATTACTAATTTATGTTTGAGATTTGTGTGTATACATTTTCCAAGTAAATTTTGTAGGAAAACCCTGGCTCTTGACTTTTAGTACACACAGCTAGTGGGTGTTTGTGTGTGCGTCACACACACACATACATATTTATATTTATATATAAAATATCTGGTTGAGAAAAGGATATTAATGAAGTTTTGCTAAAGCTTTGGTTTGGGGTTTTGTTTTTAAGAACTCTTGCTTTATCTTACTAAATCTGTACCTTGATGGTTAGTATGATCGAGTTAACCAAGAAAAATTAAGTTTGAATGCATCCCAATATTCAGTCAATGTCTTTGCAATTTGATGTCATTTACTGCCTTCTATTGAAAAGAACTATGCATAAAATGCATAAGAAGCTTCCTTCCCTTCTCACAGCTGCCCCCCTCAGCAGCCTAGCTAAGGCAACGGTTCACCTGCAAACACGCTCCAAAGGAACAGTGAATTTCCAGACTTTAGTCCCTTCTTCTGGCATTTCCTTGTGGATTGATTGATTTATTAGCACTAGGAATGCTTGCTTTCTTTGAGGACAGATGTGTATGTCACTCCTGACTCTAGGCCAAGCAATTACAAACCCCCTCCCTTTCCATGCACTGATAAAGTATGATTTTCTGAAGGCAATTGCTGATTCCTGCATTTAACCGCTGACTAAGTAAGAAGAAAATGAAATATGTTTTCCTTTCTAGGAATTTCAATATGTAGCCCTTTTCTACTTCTCTGTAAGTTTCGCTGCAGTCATTGAAACTAGATGAAAGACTAGGATTTAAATATTTTGCAAATTCACTGAGAATAAATCATTTAGAAAAAAATATACGTTTCATGGTTCTTTTAAGATGGCACTAAGATTTTGTTAGGCAAGTAAGTCTAATTGGGAAAGACTTAATTTTAGAACACTCACCTTTGTTAAAACATAAAGGAGTCATTGTTTAATTCTGCAAGACAATTTAGCAAAAGTGGGTTTTACTTAAAACATTATGATGGTGTTGTCAAAGACAAAATTACAAAAAAAAATTAGTTTAAAGATCTTATTTGGCTTTTATTTGCAATTCTAGAATCAGGCAACACCAACACCACATTTTATAAAGAAAACTGAGCGTCTCAATGAGCTGTGCAGAGATGTTTAGTTTTATAGCGAAAAAGGAGCTGAAGAAACAGAAACAGAAGACAAAAAGCAGATGGGCCCTTTCAAAGTTTCTTTGTTAAGGTTAAAGCAGAAGGGACTTCCTTATCATGCTGAAAGAACTGGCTTGCTTGGGAATTTGGCTATTCTCTTTCTCTCTCTTGATGTTTTTGAAAATCAGATATACAATTGAATTTTGACTTTGTGATGTGGAAATACAGCATGAGTGACTCAGTTCTGATTCAGTCTGTTGGGCCTAACATAGGACCTTAGTCCAAACCAATGGCTTCCTCTAAATTTTATTTAATAGTGTAAAGTCAACCTTCAAGGTCCCAAGGTTATTTATTTGCTCAGTTATATAACATATTGAAAGATTGTTCACATTAAGATATTTTTCATAAAGCATTATGAATGCTTCATGATTGACTAAAGACTTTAAAAACAAATAGGTGATACCATTTTTAACTTCCATTCTTATATTAATAGGAACATTTAACAACCAATTGAAATTGACCTTTGCAGTTATACTGTGATTGGGAAAACCAATGCAGGGTATTAATTCCACTATATGTGCAATCATTTCCAGCTAATTGGCACAGATGGGAGTTTCTGAACTTAGAAATCAGGGCCATTTAGAATATTAATACTCCTTTCAGAATACCTTATTAGAAACTGTGTCAATCATGTCAAAATGTAAATTGCTCCTTCCAATCAGAAGGGTCTCACTGGATCAGAATAGCAGACCCACACCAACCCTGACCATGTAAAATTTCTCACCATAAATGTAATCCTCTACTTACACTTGAAATAAATAAATGTTAGAGCATTTCCTATTTTGTGCAGTTATTGACCTAATGAGTGATTCGCAAAGCACTTTAAAGTTTATAGTCAATGAACATTTTAAATACTGAACATACGTAAAAGTGAAATAAACGCAAACATATTAATTCAGAAGAAGGGACGGGAGAGAAACAGAATTTTCTAAAGTTAGTCTTTTATCTAGCAGCCAGGGTAAGAGAGATGTGCTATGAAACACTCCAGGAAAAGAGATTCAATTGCATTTGGTGAGTTTTCAATTAAGAATGTAATGATAGAATACCACTCTGTTGGCCTGAGAAGCAAAACAAGCATGGTTTGGGAGAGCCTCTTGGGACTCTACTTTTGCTATGATGAAGAGAAACTTTCATGGTTATTGCATAATACAACAGGTGAGCATATTGGTGTAGAATTGTTTAGATGACTTGGTATCAATTGGATCTGGCTATTGGCACAGAGCCTTTAAAAATGTTAGTTAAAAGCCTGTGGTGTGCCCCCTGACTGCAAGTGGTTTTAGAGTGTTCTCCAAGGCTCGGTTCTCCAAGGCTCAGTGGTAGAATGGGCACAGCTGCTTACAGCCTCTTTGCTTTAAAGATGATAAATATTCTCTCATGGGGGCCTTTTGAAAGAAAAGTGCAGCATGCATCTTTTCCTGGAAGTCAAGGAAATCTCTCAAGCAGGGAATTTGCTGCTCTCAGTGGAGAACTAGGCTTATTTATTTATCATTGAGAATTTCCCTTTTTTTGTATGGATGACCATCTAGGGTCTTAAATAAGAGATGCTGACACAGAACCCAAGAATAAGCATAAATATACCCACTACTATTAGTTTTGCCTCTTATAGGATAACTTTTTGTGTGGGGTGGGGAAAGATGAATGGAAGAAGATAAGAAGAGAGAACTAACTATTCTACTTAACTTAGAAGCAATTCTAAGAAAATTCAAATGCTTCAATAAGGCATCATTTATCAAGCCAGGTGTTTTTTATTCTTTACTTTATTGAATATTCACAAGCTTTCATGAAAGGTTAGATATTAATTTTATCATTTTATAGATGTGGACACTGAAGCTCAATGAAAATAGTAACTTACCCAAGATCACACATTTGGATCATGGTAGCTAAGATATAAAGCCAGGGTGATGGACTCCAAAGACCAGCCTTTCCTTTGACCTGAACTGCTGTCCCTACTTTTTAAAAATTATTATTTATTATACTCTAAGTTCTGTGGTACATGTGCAGAACGTGCAGGTTTGTTACAGAGGTATACACGTGCCATGGTGGTTTGCTGCACCCATCAACCTGTCATCTACATTAGGTGTTTCTTCTAATGCTATCCCTCCCCTAGCTCCCAACCCCCCGACAGGCCCTGGTGTGTGATGTTTCCCTCCCTATGTCTATGTGTTCTCACTGTTTATGAGTGAGAGTATGAGTAGTTTATGAGTGAGAACATGCAGTGTTTGGTTTTCTGTTCTTGTGTTAATTTGCTGAGAATTATGGTTTCCAGCTTCATCCATGTCCCTAAAAAGGACATGAACTCATCATTTTTATTGGCTGCATAGTATTCCATGGTGTGTATATGCCACATTGTCTTTTTCCAGTCTATCATTGATGGGCATCTGGGTTGGTTCCAGGTCTTTGCTATTGTGAACAGTGTTGCAATAAACATATGTGTGCATGAGTCTTTGTAGTAGAACAAAGATTTATAATCCTTTGGATATATACTCAGTACTGAGATTGTTGGGTCAAATGTTATTTCTAGTTCTAGATCCTTGAGGAATTGCCACACCGTCTTCCACAATGATTTAACTAATTTACACTCCCAACAGTGTAAAAGTGTTTCTATTTCTCCACATCGTCTCCAGCATCTGTTGTTTCCTGACTTTTTAATGATTGCCATTCTAACTGGCATGAGATGCTATCTCATTGTGGTTTTGATTTGCATTTCTCTAATGATCAGTGATGATGAGCTTTTTTTTCATACGTTTGTTGGCTGCATAAATGTCTTCTTTTGAGAAGTGTCTGTTCATATTCTTTGCCCACTTTTTGATGGGGTTGTTTTTTTCTTGTAAATTTGTTTAAGTTCTTTGTAGATTCTGGATATTAGCCCTCTGTCAGGTGGATAGATTGCAAAAATTTTCACCCATTGTGTAGGCTGCCTGTTCACTCTGATGAACAGTTTCTTTTGCTGTGCAGAAGCTCTTTAGTTTAATTAGAACCCGTTACTTTCTATAAACCCAAGATGTACTTAAAAGTTTCTTTAGTATAACATATGGTTGGAGATCTTCCTGGCCTAAAGCAACCAGTCTGTGTGTAACATGCTGGTGCAATGAGATTTATACTTTGATAAACAGATGTGATTAGATTTCTGTTTGAAGTTTGGTGTATTTGCAACTTGGCTGTTTTTGTTCCTGAGCATCGTCCATCTTTGGGTTGTAGCCTCAGTCTTCACTGCAGTCTGAAAGGTTCATGACAATCACCAAGAAAACAAAGCACACCAGTAGAAACACAGGGTTATGTACATGGGATTATGTTTTACAGGCAACTGTAAACACATTGGCTACCCACTTTAGTGGATGCTAGAAGCTGGGAATATCTTGTAGCAATATCTTTCATCTTCATCGGGAGAGATAATGATCTGAAATTTCAAGTAAAATTGTATTTATCAAGCCATTTTGGTTAGTGATCAGTACCATAAGCTGTCAAAAAGCATTATTACCTGCTCTGTATTTTTAAATGTACAATTATTTTCCCTTCTGGACTTTCAGTATTAATTTTAGGAAAGTGCTGAAATTTGACTGTATTGATTATAGCTTGCACTAATCTTACAAGATAAGCATTAGATCTAAAAAGGCCTAATTTGAATCAAGTATGAATAACAAGTATTCACTCTCCAGCACGCCTGAAATAATATTTCATGCTTTCAATATAGGCACTTTAGAAAACTGTAAAGGCCAAACAACACCTTTTTATCACTGTGATTAGACTTCTAAGTGCTGGTGACAATTAGCTCCTAAAATTCTTCAGGTTTCATCCTTGAAGGAAAGAGCCATGTACTTACATCATGGAGAGAGGGAGGTAAAGAATGTCTTGGAATATTAGAACCTGAATTATCTTTTAGTGGCTGGGAAGAAAAGGGTCTGGATAAATGTTTCTTTGGCTGTTGTCACTAAAGGAAATCCAAGGCTTGTGGTAAAATCCCCGGCTTGGCAATGTTTGTAACATGGGCTATATCTCACTTCCATTGATGTCGGTTCAGATGGAGGCATTTAGGGATTTGGAGCATGACTGAAACCTTTCTAAAGCTTCAGTCAATGTAAATAGATTTGGAGATGGAATCAAAAATGAAAAGCTAGAGAAAATAAAATTGTGTTTTGAAATTACTCAAAATTTTGATTCAGCTACATAGCCACAGCACCTTTTTCTGCATATGGATGAAATATATTTACTCTGGCAAAGTCCTACAGGAGAGATTTTTAATGCAGAGGAAATGTCCCAGGCATGAATGTTTTTCTTCCATTTATTTGCTGTTAAAAAAACAGTTTAATGTTTTGGTATGTTTTTTCAATATACAGTACTTGCAATTAATGAGTTGTTAACTGCTTCACCATTATACTATAAAATGTTACTATGAATGAATCTCCAAAATGAGAGAGCTAGCTCTTGATCCTAACTTGACATTTTAAAACAGGATTACAATGAATATCAGCATTAATCTACTCCATTTAAAGGACATAATGCTTCGGCCCTAAGGAAAAAGTTACATTGGGTGATAAGCCGTTTTCTCTGATTTTCTTTCAGACACCCATAAGAAAAATGCTTGGGTTTTTAAATGCTTGTTATCGTAAAATCTTTCAATATTTCTTATCATGAATACAATTACTCTTTCCCTCTTGGGGGAAACTTTGTTTAATTCAATTAATGGTGTCTACGTAGATGGTGGTAGAAAAGTGTAGTTTAACCTTGCCTGTCGTAGTCATGTCATTGTGAATATATTCAGGCCTGCCTCTCTCTCTCTGCAATATGAGGAATGAAGTGAAGTTCATCTTTTGTGTTTCTCTCTTATTACTTTCATATTTTATTCCTCTGCCTCTACCATCTACAAAACACCTGGCTTATACCTTAGTTGGCCTTCAGAATGATGATCGAGGTAGTGTGGGTAGTTACTTAAACCACAAGCAGTTCTGTTACTATACTGTGATCATGGAAAGCCTCTCTCCTTTGTGGGAAATATCTTAATTCCTGTTAAAGTTGTGATTATTGGCATGATATCAAAGAAAGTGAATTGTAAGGGTATCCTGATTAGGAGCTCAGAGCTCATCTTCTTATCCAGCTATATATTAGAACATCTATGGAATTTCTCCTGAGAAAGAGACATTGTCTGACATGCTACTGTAAATTAACTCTGTGCAAATCGTTTCTTAAAGATGATGCTCTGACTTCAGTTACAAAAATAGTGATACTGCCTATGCAGCTGTTTTATAATAAACAACCTATAGTTTTAGGCTATTATCTTTAATATGTTTTACAGTATTATTTATTAGAGAATTTGTCATTAAGAAAAAAGAGTTTTCAGATTTTATTTGGGGAAGAAGATAAGAAGAGAGAACTAACTATTCTACTTTCTACTTTCTATGTTCACCCAGCTGTAACTGCCTGTAGATATTAAAAACTGTCTTCATTTCCCTCTTTCAAATCTTTTGCTAGTTCTTACAAAGAAGTGGATTCCAGGAAATACTGTTTCTGTTCTTAGAGGAAGTGACAGTAGTTCCAGGCCAACTGGAATCCATCAATTAAAGAAGTTTCAAAAAAAAAAAAAAAAAAAGTCTGTGCTGCTGTCAAAAATCACCCGGGGACTATTATATACTGTAAAACAACAACAACAACAACAACAACTGGCAGGATTGTAAGCTCAAGCATCTCTTAAACCATTGGTGGATCTGATTCCTATCATGTTCTATAGCTGTGGTCACATTCACATATACTATATTGGGAACTAACTCTTCGGCATCTCCTTAAGTATGCTGTTGGAGAGGATTCCTTGGTGAGAAAGAAAGAATGTCTTAAGTCTGTACTGCAGGGGCTGGGTAAAGAATATCTCATCAGCATTTCCATACATATTTCATGTCTGTGTATTTCTGCTTTCCCAACTTCAAGCATGAGCCTGACACCTAGAAGGCATCAAATACATTTTGTGGAATAAATAAATAAGAGTGTGCCCTTGCTACTTTGTTCTCATCATGCTATTTGTGTATGTTCTTCCTAAAGGTTCTCCTTAGCATGTGCTGGCTCTGTTCTTTGAATATTATTTTCTTTTAGAAATGGTGACCCTTTTCCACAGATGTCCTCACCCTTGCTCTATAAACATTCCTTCCTTCTCTTCCTGCTCTGGCTCTGGGAGCGACCCCCATGCTCATCACTGAGTATGCATTCTGTTGCTGCAATCTAAGAATTGCAAACACACTTAAGAGTTAGTTCTGAAATGAATAAAATTAGGGTCCTTGTGAGAATCCAAAATATTCTCAAATAAGTTGGATTCATGAACACTTGTATAAGGGCTTTAATGGCATCAGTTTTGGATAAAATGACTCTATTCTTCATTCTGATTTTTTGAAAACTTGTGAAAAACTGAGATTACTGGTTGAATGGCCTCTTTAAGCATAGAGCAGCACTGTAAAACATTAGGTACAAACTACATTTTCTAAACCTCTACCTTTCCCCATGACTACTGGCAAACTCTCCAGCCCTCAAACCATCACTATGGGACATTTAAAAGGCTCTCTTCTCCAAGCAGAATGTCAGACTTAGTAAACGTAAATTTTCTTCCATCTGTACTTGCAATGGGGTGTCCCTTCTAGGCAGGAGTTCTTCCCCAATGTCTGTGCTTGGTGCTGGTGTTACAGTGACAGAATCTCTGGAGTCAGAAAATCAGTACTATAATACACCTTGGTTAGTTGCTAAGTATATGATTGTGGGCTAGTTTATCTAAACTTTATGAGGATTATTTCCTTCAATGTTGCCTACTTTTCTAGATTATTGTGAAGACGGAATGAGATATGATTTTTCAAATGTCATATGTAGTGTGAGACACAAGAGTAGGCATTCAATTTATGATAGTTAATTTTATCACTATCAATATGGCAATGTACTACTCATGCAAACTTATCGTGGTCCAATAGAAAACATGACATTGGATTTACATCTCTCATTATTCTCATGGACCAGATTCATTTTATTTTGAGATGCATTTCTGATTCATTTGATTCCTATTGTCACTTCTTTCTCTGAGTCTCATCACGGTCCCATGGACTCAACTGTTATTGCTTTCTTCCCCAGACTTCTTTATTTTAGTTTATTTCCCACAATTCTGGCATAACTTTCTTCTAAAAGTAACTTATTCACACATTTTCTTGCTTTAAATCTTTTGATTGTCTCCCTACTGTCTAGTTAAACTGCCTTCTTAATTATAAGTCTACTGCAAGCTTTTTATTTCCTAATGTCATTGTGAATCTCTAAGATGAGAACACACTTGTCCACTGAAATTTTTTTTATTTTTTTTATTTTTTTGAGATGGAGTCTTGCTCTGTCACCCAGGCTGGAGTGCAGTGGCATGATCTCAGCTCACTGCAAACTCCACCTCCCTGGTTCAAGCCATTCTCCTGCCTCAACCTCCCGAGTAGCTGGGACTACAGGCGCCTGCCACCACGCCCGGCTAATTTTTTGTATTTTTAGTAGAGACAGGGTTTCACGGTGTTAGCCAGGATGGTCTCGATCTCCTGACCTTGTGATCCACCTGCCTCGGCCTCCCAAAGTGCTGGGATTTCAGGCATGAGCCCCCGCACCCGGCCAAAAACCTTTTTTTAACAGAGCATCTTTTAGGGAATGATAGTGCAGGGACACGTGGGGCAGTGCTGGCCCACAATGGTGAGTCCAAACCTCTGAGCACATATATACAACATTTATTGGCCACCCCTCTCTTCAATCTTAGCTTCTCTCTGCTTCATACTCACTTTTTGTCATTCTTGTTCTCAAATAACAGTCTGTTTAGTTTCTCCTTCATTTGTAGACCATATTATTAGCTTCTGAAACACTCCCCTCCAACATTCTCCTACACTTCTCCCTGTATCCAATCCGCTCAACTTGGTGACCTACTGATTCTTCAAGAAACAGCCCAAATGTTATTTTCTCTGAAGCTGTTGTAGTCTCCTGAATCTTGAGCAACATGGATGCTTTGGGAGTTTAAAAGGAAGAAAGACCTATATTTATAACTCTCATAACTTTATCACATTGCCATGTGAGATTCTGTCTCCCCCATTAAAAAAATAAACTCCATAAGGGCAGGCATGTCCATGCTCCATTCAATTAATAGCTTATTTTCTAGTTCACTGGCTAACATATGTAGATGGTTTGTGATGAATGTTTACGAAAATATTTACTAAATATGCTACAGATGGAATGGAATGTCTCACACACACACACATGCACACAACCTATTGCTAAGTGATCGGATTAATAATTTTTATTTTCAGCAACACAATCATTTACTTCACAGGTGTGTAAATCTATGGAAATTTCTAATTTCTCTATTTCCAATTATACATATTCTATAAGCCATACTCCTTAGAAACCATGATACCTCCATGATAACTCACTGTAGCCTATTCTGCTTAACATGGACACGGCTGTTATATTTTGTGCCAAAGTTGACATGACAGTTTTTCTAAATGACATTTAAGATTCTTCTTGAGCTTCCCAGCAGGCAGCTCCTGTGCAAAAATGCCAGACAGAGAGGGGGAACCTCAAGTTGCTTCTTTGAAAACCCACTTAGTCATTATTCATCAGTGATCCTTAAACCAGTGCCCACTCATATCTCAGGCTGACACTCCATAATGATTTCAATAGAAGAGCAGCTGTTCCACATTATATGCCTCTCTGGGAACAGCACCCAGGTACTGCCATTCCAATTGTTTTATGAATGTGCTAGAGAAATGGCAGATTGCCAAAGACAGCATCCACATGGTTGTTTGAAACAACACCCCAGACATAAAAAGAAAGAAAAATCTCCTCACAGATTGCAATGTGTACAATTTGGCTGTTTTGCACATCCTCTGCAGCTGTGCATTCATGATGCTATATTTAAGCAAAAATCTGTGTAAGAATTAGTCACTAGAAGATGGAAGTTTGGCGGCCATTTTAAGGATTTGGCTGCAGTGGTTGCCAGGACCTCTCCCTCCAGAATGAGCTCTGCCTATCTTATAACCAACCAGAAGTGTGATGTGACTACTTGCTAGAATGTAATCTTTTCACATATCCTAAGACTTGTTCAAAAATTAGCAAGCCCTCGTTTTTCCTTTCTGAAAGGGATTACTGTCACCTTGCGGATTCTTTTCGAGTCACAACTGTCATACAGTCTTTGAAAAAGCTGACATATAGATTTGGTACATCTTTTCTTGTACCCTTTCTTCCTCATTCCCAGGAAATTAATATTAGAAAATCATTATCAAAGAGAATAAATGTGCTCAGTTCAAATGTGTAAGACCAATTGGTTATTACTAGTGTGCAAATTCGAGTTTAAGAAACACCACAGATTTCTCACGATCAGTGAGAAGAAATACCTCAGACCAATCCTGCCTAACAAAGAAGGAAAAGAAAATATTCTGTGAATTCATCTATGCAGAATATAGGAATATAAAACATATTGACTCCGGGAAGGGAAGAAAATTCTCTGGCTGTTTGAAAATGCCTTATTTTCTAAGATATGAAAAAGCCAGTACCTTTGAATAAGTCTATTTAGAATTCAGTGAAATCTATGGAATTGGGCAAGTAAAATTGCATTAGCTAATCTTGCAATGCTTAACCTTCTTAAGGAAGATACTATAGTGGACCAACAGAGTTCAGCAGATGCATTGACATCTTCTCTGAAAAGCACTATCATCTTTTCCCAGAAACCTGTGAAGCTTAGATTTGTTTAAATCTTATTTGCCAATTACACACTTCAAATATTTGTATATTCCTGAAAATAGAGAAGATCATTACATTGCGTATCTTTCTCACATGCATTCAGTATTTTGGCATATTTTTAAAATTCCATCCAAACCTTTCCATCCAAACCTTTGGGGGAATGACCTGTTGCCTTCAGATTTCCCATGTCCGCCTTTCTTCAAATTCTAGTTTGGAATTTTAAGAGTTACTCTTTCCATGAAATTACTCATCATCACTTTGATACCTACCTACCCAGTTTACAAGAAGTTGATCTGTGCCATAGTTATGCTTCTTTTAAAGTTGTGCCTCCTATGTTATATATTTTTAAATAAACTTTTTATAGTAGAACAGTTTTATATAGAAAAGTTGTATAGGGATAGGAAGGAGTTTTCATATACTTTCCTCCCCAAACACCCAGTTTCTCCTATAATTAGTGTCTTTTATAAGTGTACACTGTTCAAGATTAATGAGCCAAATTAATATATTATTATGAAGTTGATTCTTTATTCAGATTTACTTACTTTTTACCAAATATCCTTTTTTTGCTCCAGGATCCTATCCAAGATACGACATTGCATTTGGTCACCCTGTCTCCTTAGACTCCTCCAGACTGTGATAGTTTCTCAGATGTGCCTTGTTTTTGACGATCTTTACCATTTTGGAAAGTACTAATGAGATTTTTTGTAGAATATCCCTCAACTGGGCTTTGTCTGGTGTTTTTCTCATAAGTAGACTGGGGCTATGGGTTTTTGGAAGGAAGACCAAGAGATAAAGGGCCAGTCTCATCACTTCATGTCGAGGTCTCATGCCAATAACATGACTTATTACTATTGATGTTAATCTTGATCACCAAGCTGAAGTAGTTTGTCAGGTTGCTCCACAATTAAATTACTCTTTTTCCTTCTTTCCAAACTATACTCGTAAAAAGGAAGTCACTATGTGCAATCCATACTTAAGAAACAAGGAGTTAAATTCCATCTTCCTGAATGTATAATATATGCATAAGTTATTTGGAATTTTCTGCACTGGAAATTTGTCCATACTTTTCTACTCATTTATTTATGAAACTATTTTTTAGGATACTGCAGCGGTGGATACTTGATACTGTAAAATTTTTTAAATCTACATAAACCTTAAGGCACAAAGTGAATATTAATATATGCAATTGAAAAAAAAAATTTAGAACATCAGTGGATCCCAGAATAGAATGAATACTATGATGACAAAATCTAACTGTGTTACAAATATATGAAATTACTTTACTAAAGCAGGTGTGGGAGAAGTGTTGACTTAAGTAACTTTAGAAATAAGTAGGGACTAAGACTAAAGCCAAAAGGAACTGTAAATGAGCATAATACTCTAGTTGTTAAAGTTGTTTTTCATGTGAGTACTGGCAAACAATTCTGAAAACTCTATACTAAAATTAAACAGCTAAGTAAGTGGATTACTGATGGCAGGAGACAGGCTTCTCATTATTGGAGTGGGAGAACACAGACAACAAAGGAAACAGGCTAGAATATTTCATATGTTAACAAATCAGAGTTGGAGACAACAGTACGAACTTGTGTTTAGCTTAATATAGATATAGATTGATACATATGGGAATATTTATAGATGTGTCTACGTACATTTGTTAGTATACAAGAATATATTTTCTTGCTATATGCTTAGGGCTTATGACAATGACATCCCAGTAGCAACAAGCACATCTACCACCCAGTTATTGGTTTCCAATACAGTTCTCCAATTATCCCTGGGAGAAATGGTTAATTCTAAGACTGAGACATGAATATACCAGATGAACCTAGAGCACCTTGAAGAGCCATAAAATAGTGTTTAAAACAGGCCAGGCACAGTGGCTCACGCCTGTAATCCCAGCACTTTGGAAGCCTAGGTAGGTGGATTGCTTGAGCTCAGGAGTTCGAGACCAGCCTGGGCAACATAGCAAAAACCATCTCTACAAAAAATACAAAAATTAGCCAGGCATGGTGGTGCACCTGTTGTCCCAGCTACTTGTGGTGCTGAGATGGGAGGATCGCTTGAGCCCAGGAAGGGGAGGTTGCAGTAAGCTGAGATTGTGCCACTCTACTGCAGCCAGGGTGACAGAGGGAGACCCTGTCTCAAAAAACAAACAAAAGAACACACACACACACACACACAAAAAAAAAAAAACTTCAAGACAAAATTACAAAGAAAAGGTGTTTGTAGTTTAGACTATGTCAAAGGGACACAGGAATCAACTGAAAGAGCTCCCTGTGGCCAAAACTGAAACATTTAAGCAAATAAATAAGTAAATTATTATTATTATTATTATTATGAATTTCTTTTTTAATTGCAGTTTTATTAACAGGTCCTTCACAGTGAATCACATAGTTTCTTTGTCCACGATTCCTGCAAGAGAGACAATTTAGGATAAAGGTTACATGCAAATGTTCTGTAATCAAACTGCTCAAGTTCAAATTATGGCTCCAATTCTTACGTATCGCCCTGGTCAAATTACTTAATCTATTTGTAGTTCAGTTTTCTCATCAAAACCTTGGATACTGAGAAAACATATCAAATGTTAGCCTATAGTACTGAGCACACTGTAAGCACTCAGTAATTATGAGCTGTCATTACAAGTTGGTTTGCAATAGGCCCTCAGAAAAATTCTCTTTCCTTATTGTCTAAATTACAAGTATTTTACATAATTCTGGAAGCAATATGTTCAAAGTGTACAGAATTCATTGTAGAGAGACCAAATTAATTTGCTAAAATTTATTTATACATACAAAATATCAATTTTGAATATTTATAATTTCTACTAATACATTTCTAGATAAACGCTGAAGTAGTTCCTATGGCTTTCTTTGAGTTTTACAAATGATTAAATTACATACTTGGTTTTTAACATGGTTGTTTATTCTAACTATAGTAATGTAGCTTTGGGCTATGATTATCTAGTGTCACAAATGACCAATTCTGTTATTTCTGTAAAAATTTTAGTTAGGATATTTGTTTGATGTTGGATAGATAAAATAATTTAAAATTGACTGAAGTTTCAAGCTGCAAAACAGTTGGGTTAAGCTTGAATGAACACAGACTCTATCAGACATCCTAAAAATGTAAAATAATCAATAATGTCACTAAGTAGGAGTACGAAGGAGTGGCTGGTGAAAAGAGTGGTGTGTGAGGCACTGGCCTGATTAGGGTTCAAAGTACCCTCTCCAGCTTTAAAGAACACCTCCCATTCTTTGATGTGAACTACACACACACACACACACACACACACACATTTTTTAATTCTATGGAGTGTTAAGCAAATGTGCTTGAAGCACAACAACCTTTAGGCCATTCAAAATCAGATTGCCATTTTTAAATTTCCCCTTTAAAGAAACCCTGAAAATATTCATGGCATCAACAGGAACATGTCTATATCTGTACATAAAGTTGACTAAATGTAAATTGATAAACTCACTAGTGTGAACAAAGTTATTTATGTATTTAATCCAAATGGTATGCTAATATCAAGTGGCTTTGAATGCTTTAATTAACATGATATCATTCCTCCAATGAGTTCCTCCTCTCTGTCTTATTAGGATAATGCTACAATCTTTACATGCAGTTGAAGTTGGATTTTCACTTTGGTGAGTGACTCAGAACTGCAGAACATTAAAATTGTCACTCGATACCCTTATCTTTGAAAAGAATCCCAGAACTGGGGAGGCCATCAGATGGGTTGCTGAAACATGCATAGCCCAGAGTGAAGCCAAATCGTTACTGTGGATGAAGAAGTGTCTCACAGGGGCAGAGCGGGTTCTCACCACCTTTTCATAATAATTGGAAAGTCTATTGTTTCTGTCACTGACTCCTCCAAGGTACTTAGTAATACCTGAGGCTGTAAATTGGCTTTAATGCATGGCATCTGAATAAAATGTTGCATTCTTGATTTATTGCATACAAGTGTTCAGCTTGTGGCTGATGATTCAGTTTGAAAGTCAGGATTTCTGGGAACTTTCCTTTGCTCTGCCTTTGTGTTACACTTCTTTCCGGGGAGGTAGAGAAAAATCCAACATAGTAAAGGTGTGTCATCTTCACCAGGACTATGACAAAATTTATTAAACAACTCCCTGTCTTCCAAGTAATTTCAAAATATAAGCAAAGTGGAAAAAACTAGGAGTAATAAGATACAAGCTAAACACATATGCAGTTTTCCACATATATGGGAAGACAGGGCCAAGTAGTAACTGTAAATCAATCCAGCAATTCCATGTGATCCAAGCTGCGTAGCACAACATCACTGAATCTGTTCCAGTGGCCATCTTTTACTTACTGTTCTATGAGGAAAGGTCACATTTGCTGCTGTTGACACTGATCAGATAAGAAGTGTTATACATTTCCCCTAACAATAAGATTTTCTATCATATACATTGCCTGGGGAATAGTAAATCATACATACAAAATCTGGTCCTGTATTTTACAGAGTGGGAAGTTTCACCCACTCACCGAGCCTGTAGCTTTGCTTATTTTAAATGTTTCCCAGTATCATCCCACACATGGGCTGCTGCTTTAGCCTACTGAATGGCTTCCTAACATATGCCTGGCCTTTCTCCAATCCATTTCTGCACACTGCTGTGAAAACTCATCTTCTAAAAATAGAGCTTTCACGAAGGTAGATATTGCTTTAAACACACACACACACACACACACACACACACAAATAGTATCTCTCAACTGCCTACAGAACAAAAATAATCTGTAATCTGCCTAGCCTGGCCTTAATAAATACTTGTAGTCAAACAGTTCAAATCCTGACTGCACTTACTAGAAGGCCTGGAGTAAGGGTAGTTACCTCTACTAGACTCAGTTTCTTCATCAGTAAAATGAAAATAATAATACCTAGGTCAGAGCATTGATTTAAAAAAGGTAATAATTAAGAAGTATTATCCACATAAGTCCAAACCATGGTTCAGTGTCTGGCTTGTAATAAGCTGTCAATAAACTATAGCCATTTCTCTGTTTTAATATAAATTAATACTTTGCTCAAATTCAGTTTTTCAAATCAAAACTCATTCAAACTCAGTTATTCTGCAAGTTCAAATTATATTTCTCTATCACTTACTGTTAGCCTATATGAATGCATTATTTAGTTTTCTTAACCTATTTATTTTCCATTTTACTTGTCTCTTTATTTCATTCATATTATTACCTCTTAATATATGCAATATGAATATATCTGCATGATCTAAGATGTGATGATATCTAGTAATATTAACCAAATTTAGATGTGCTTAGACAAAAGTTTTAAAAAAGGTATTGACCCATGCAACATATCTGGCAACAGCAGGCACAGCTGACCTTAGAGATGACTGAAAGCAGAGACTCTAAAATAACCAGGCTCTTGACTCTAGGAGTCAGCTTCATTCAGACCACCCATTTCCATGTCTTCGAAGCAGTGGAGACAGCAGGCCAAGGTTCTCAGCTTCTCATCTTTGTCACATAGGAGGGAAGGGCTCTTCGTTTTGGCTTATTCAAAATATCACAGAGTAAAGTTCTGATTGGCTGACCCATGGTCATGGGTCCAATCCAAAACCAGTAACTATGCTCAAGAAAATAGAGTACAATACATACCTGAAGATGATTCCCAGCCATCCCTGACTCTAGATGGCTGGGAGAAGGCAGGTTATTTAAGGAAATGGCAGCTCCTTTAGGGGCTATATATTATAGCGGGAGGGAGGACAAGTAGACTAATTCTACAAAATAAAGGGTGTGCTATTTCAAAATAAGTCTTGGGTACTTTAGGGAGAAAAAAGTCAAATGAGTAAATTACAAACTTAACCACAACTATCAATCAGTACAATTTTCAGTGGTTATATTTGGTAGATAATGTAGAAAATTCAAGAGAGTCTTATGTGAGTAATAAGCTTATGTCATTCTCATCCTAAAATTAAACTAAGTATTTAAACTTCTGGTTATTTATTAATCCCACAGGGTTCAAGCTTAGTTGTAGGTTAAGTTGCTTATTTTCCACTTCAGTGGTAAGAAATATCTAGAATTGGAAGATTACTTATGGCATTTACTGCCTACACATTGAACTGTATTTATGACTATGCTTTACACTTCTAAGCATTTAGTCATTGAGATTTGTTTTATTAATCTATTGTAGAAATTATGGCTGTTTTTATCCTACTCGTAACACAAATCAGCTCAATATCTGTTGTCTATCATTTTAGATCAGTTACTCAATACAAATAATTAGAAATGTGGTTTTCTTACAGACCCTCAAACCACTGATTTTTTATTAATCACTCAGCAAAAAAAAAAAAATGTGATTAAGAAAGAAGGCAACTAACATATTAAGAAGAAACCTGAGTTTAATGATTAATGCATTAACATTCCCTAACTCAGATTAGAAATGATCAACATTTTATGAATGTGAGTGTATGTGACAGCCAGCACAGGTGCAAGCCAGGTAGAAAGATCAGAGTCCCTAAAGGACCAGGGTGAGCCTTGGTGATAGAAAAACTGATGTGAGCTGTGGTCGAAAGTCTCTAACCCCCAGGGATTCTGGATTTCTGGCATTCATGCCTGTGTGTAATAATCCTGTCTCCCTGAGTGTGGACTAGACTTACTGATTCACTTCTGACAGGAATTGGCAGAAGAGACACGATGCCAACTCTTAGTTGGGTTATAAAAAGATTGCAACTTCCATCTGGGGTGATTTCTCTCATTTCTCCATCTAACTCTGTCTTTCTATCTCTCTCTCCATCTCATTACCAAGGCCAGGCGTAAGCCATATGAGTTAGCTTGGAAATAGACTCCCCCTGCTCAGTGGAACCTTCAGATGGGGCTGCAACTCCTGCCAACAGCTTGACTACAACTTCTTGAAAGAGCTTGAGCCAAAGGCTCCAGGCTAAATAACACCCAGATTCCCGAACCACAGAAACTCTCAGATAGTAAATATTTGTGTTTTTTTTTTAATGCTGACAAGTTTAAAAATAATATACAGTAATGGATAAGCAATTAAAATCAGAGCAAATTCTGATCATCTAATATGCATCCCAGTACAGCCTGCCACAGAGGAAAAACAATAATAACAGAAGTTGCTCAATTAAAGACAATTTAGTAATTTTTGTCTTTGAATTGTTCTCTCTACCACAGCTACCGTTTCTCACAGAGATTTAACCTTATTAAGACATATAATCTTGGCTTCTTACTAATATCTATAATCTTAGATTCTCTGGATTACTTTTAGGGACCAAATGATGAAAACATGAGATTTTCAAAAACATGTTGCATGCAAGATTAACACTAGTACCATGAAAAAATATGGTACTAGTGTTAATTTAATCCCTTTAAAATAAGGAAAATAATAATAAATACATAATACCAGCCATCTTAGAAAACACAACATTATTTTATTTAAATATTTATTTCTGTTTGTGTATATATTTGTATTTTTATTTTTGACATAATTATAATCACATGGGAAATTTTAAATGATCCAACTTTTTAATAAAAGTATTATTTATAAACCTTCACACATTTTAAAAACATTTTCTATATTTTTTTCTTATTTTAGATTTCAGGATGAAATTCTGGTTCAAAAGGCAGGAATCATTTTTTTAAAATATCTTTTATCCAAAACTATGTTTTTAAAAGGTAAGTAACCCACCTTTCCCCAGCTTTAATTTCTTATTTTCTTCACAATCAAGTAAGGTGACTCAAGATGACTTAAAAGGTCATGTTTAAAAAAAAATTCCTGGGCAGTGATTTACAAAAAATAGTAAAAGTTCTTCTCATAGCCATTTTGAAGACATAATATTGCTAGTGAGAAGTGTTATCACGTCATGTGGGCTCCTTCTACAAGTCTTTTATGTTATTATTTCTAGTTCTTAGAAACCACATTCTCCAAGTCTTTGCTATTGTGAAAAGTGCTGCAATAAACATACGTGTGCATGTGTCTTTATAGTGGGATGATTTATAATCCTTTGGGTATATACCCAGTAATGGGATTGCTGGGTCAAATGGTGTTTCTAGTTCCAGATCCTTGAGGAATCACCACACTGTCTTCCACAATGGTTGAACTAATTTACACTCCCAACAGTGTAAAAGCATTACTATTTCTCCACATCCTCTCCAGCATCTGTTGTTTCCTGACTTTTTTAATGATCACCATTCTAACTGGTATGAGATGGTAACTCATTGTGGATTTGATTTGCTTTTCTCTAATGACCAGTGAAGATAAGCTATTATTCATATGTTTGTTGGCCATATAAATGTCTTCTTTTGAAAAGTGTCTGTTCATAAAACCATCATTCTCAGTAAACTAACACAGGAACAGAAAACCAAACACCGCATGTTTTCATTCATAATTGGGATTTGAACAATGAGAACATATGGGCATGGGTAGAGGAATATCACACACTGGTGCCTGGAGGTGGGTGGGGAGCAAGGGGAGGGATAGCATTAGGAGAAATACCTAATGTAGATGATAGGTTGATGGGTGCAGCAAACCACCATGGCACATATATATACCTATATAACAAACCTGCATGTTCTGCACGTGTATCCCAGAACTTAAAATACAATAATAATTAAAAAAAAACACATTATCTAGAATTGCAGCCCTAATCCTACTTTGCCTGTCTTCAGCAATGTCAGTGAAATCTGGAAATCTCCATTTACTAAGACACAACAGAAAGAGTTTCTCACAATTTTAGGTGAAGAATTGTGTTAAGGAGACCTTCTTCTATCAAAGTATTCCTTCTGGGATTTCCATACTTTCTTTAATTTCTCTTCAATTATTTAAATCAGGTTTACTGAGGTATGATTTAAATATATTCCTTTTATTATACAGTTCAATGAAAGTTATTAATTATATAGTTATAAGCTTGACACAAGGAAGATTTATAATATTTCTATCACCCAAAGAAAGTTTCCTTGTACCCTTTGTAGACAATCCTTTCCTTACCCCACCCCCATCACTCAACCCCTGGCAAGCAGTGATCTGATTTCTGTCACTACAGTGTTGCTTTTTCCAAAATGTTATATGAATGGAATCATGTGGGCCTTTCTATCTAACTTGTTTCTCTCAGCATAATGCTTTTACATGTAAACATTTTGTTATATGTATCAGTAGTTTGCTCCTTTTTATCACTGAGGATTATTCCATTATATAGATGTAACACAATTTGTGTATCTACTTACCAGTTAATTGACATTTGGATTGTTTTCAGTTTGGGGAGGTTATGAACAAAGCTGCCATAACATTTAAGTATTTGTGAGTGGATATGCGTTTTGATTTCTCTTAGGTATATCTAGGTGTGAGGATGTTGAATTGTATGGAAAATGTATGTTTAAATTTATGAGAAACTGACAAAAATTTTCCAAAATAAGAGTAACATTTTGTATTCTCAGTTGTTCTACATTCTTACAAGCACTTGGTGTTGTTAGTCTTTTTGATTTTCACTATTCTAATATGTGTTTAGTAGTAATTCATCATGGTTTTACTGTACATTTCCATACGGCAAATGTTGGGTATCTTTTCACATGCTCACTTACAATGGTATATATTCTTTAATTATCTATTCAAATAACTTATTCATTTTAATTGGATCATTTGCTGTCTTATTTAGTCACAAGAATTTTTTATATCAAATTCTTTATTGATGTGTTTTTTAATGTAATTTCCCAGGGTGTATTATGTTTTCATCTTATTAATACTATCATTCAAAATGCAAGTGTTTTTCTGCATAATGAAATTGTTTGTCATTATTTTAAGTTTTATATACAGTAAAGATACCCCTAACTGCTAACTGCATTAACAGTTTTGCTTAACCTTAAATGTCAATAATTTTCTTCTGTTTCCTTCAGTAAATTTTAGTTTGAACTCTTACATTTAGGAGTACGCTTCATGTAGAATATAATTTTTTATATAATGTAAGGTGTCAATTTTCTTTTCCTTTCTCTTTTTTTTTCTGGGGAAGGGTTGGGTGGAGGGAGGACATGAGTATCTAATTGTTCCAACATCATTTGTGCTAAAGATTATTTGCATTGAATTACCTTGACACCTTGTTCAGAATGAATTGACAATGCATGTGAGAGCCTGTTTTTCAACTATTTATTCTGTTCTATAAATCCATATGCCTATTCTTAGGCCAATAACATATTTTTTGATTATCATAACTTTATAAAGTTTAAAATCAAATTAAACTTTGTTTTTATTTTTCAAAGTTGTTTTGCATACATACTCTGGATCCCTTCATATAAATGTTAGAATCAGTTTGTCAATTTCTACAAAAAAAGTGTATGTGATAAGGATTACATTGAATCTACAATATCAATTTGGGAAAAAATGAGAAGTTAACAATATTGAGTTTTCTAATCCATGAACATGGTAGTGGTCTCCATTTGTTTAGGTCTCCCTTAATTATTCTCAGCAATTGTTTTTAGAGATTAAATGTGGGAAAAAAGTCTCTAATATTCAATCTCTCTTCTTCCTCTTCTTCTTCCTCCTCCTCCTCTTCTTTTAATAGTTCTATGCATTTTTTCTTTCTGCACATGGAAATTTATATCTGGATTATACTTCTTCTGTTTAAAAAATGTCCTTTAATATTTGTTTTAAGGTAGACATGCTGGCAATGAATTAGCTCAGATATTGTTTGTCTGAAAAAGCTTTTATTTCACCTTTGTTTTAAAAGATACCCTTAACTAGTTATAGAATCCTGGTTCATATTTATTTTTCCTGAAAGTGAAAGAAATAATTCTTCCTCTCTTTCTCACACACACACGCAAGTGGAATTTTTATTTGATTAATTTTTATAACTTTTTTTCTCTGTCAAAATTCTTCACTTATTTTTATACATATTCTAACTTTCCCCCTATTTCTTATAACTTAACTAACTCTTTATAGATCCTTTTGAATAATTCCAAATCATTGGCTTTTCTTGGAGTCGATTTCTGTTAACTTTTTCTTTGGGTCCATTTCTGTTAACGTTTTTATCATTTAACTGTGTATCTTTTCCTCTACTCTTTGTGGTTCTCAATTTTTTTAAAAAAAATTAAACTCTGTACATGAGTGTAGGCAGACAGTCAAGTCAATAGTATTTAACTGTAGCAATTGGAATAGAACATGCCTCTTCTGTAAGGCTGTCAAAGTATGCATAGGTGTCAAGTCAATAAATTAATCTGGCAAGTAGTTAAACTGAGTTTACAAATGTGTTACTATGTTTGCATTCAGTGTATCATACTTACTTAAGCAGTGTACTGATATTATCTCATTTGGTTTGGTTCCTAGAGTGTCCCCAAATTTGTTTCAGGGTTCTTTTTCTATCCTCAGTTTTCAGGAGGCCCTACATGCTTACCCCACAGATGAGGTCTGCCTTTGTGCTCCTGTCCCTCCCAAGGGGTCAGTAACTGTTGTTTGTTATTTGCTGTGAGGTGTTTGTGGAATGTAATTTTTTTTTTTTTTTTTTTTTTTTTTTTTTTTTTTTTTGAGACGGAGTCTCGCTCTGTCACCCAGGCTGCAGTGCAGTTGCACCATCTCTGCTCACTGCAAGCTCCGCCTCCTGGGTTCACGCCATTCTCCTGCCTCAGCCTTCCAAGTAGTTGGGACTACAGGCGCCCGCCACCACGCCCGGCTAATTTTTTTTTTTTGTATTTTTAGTACAGACGGGGTTTCACCGTGTTAGCCAGGATGGTCTCGATCTCCTGACCTTGTGATCCGCCCGCCTCGGGCTCCCAAAGTGCTGGGATTACAGGCCTGAGCCACCGCGCCCGGCCAATGAGGTGGGTGGGGGGGGATGGGTGGGTTTGGTTCCTCTCCTCCAGGCTCAGATTGAGGCAGACCTTGAGCATTTGCGCCTTGGAGTGGAATTCCCTCACGTTTCAGCCACCACATGCACCCCCGGTGACAGCGAAATTTTGTCCAGTTATTGGGGGCAGGTGGAGAGAAAGGCTCAGTGTATTTTTTCCACCAGTGGTGGGAGCAGATATTTGCTTTTTTTCAATGCACGATCTTGAGCCCTAGCAAGTTTTTGGCCTCTTCCTAAGGCAGATGTTTTCTCTTCCTTCTTTCTCTCTTCTAATAGTAGCAAACCTCGCCTGAGCCTTTGGCATGAAAATATTTTTGAGTCCTCTCCCATCAGTGTAAACCTTTTGCTTTGAATAGGAGATGGATCTTGGAAAATAACAAGATTTTTTTTTCCTGTGTGATACCAAGGGGTGCTCTCACACATGTCTGCTGCCTTACCCACATTCTTTCCGGTAAACCAAAATAGAGACAGAGAAAAGAACTTGGCAAGTATGTGCAGACTTTCATTGAATATGGGAAGAATTAACTTTGTCACACTAACCATCACTAAGTCTTGAAGAACTTATTGAAATTTAGTTGTTTTCAACTTATCCCTTTTCAGGGAGCCACCTCTTCTTCTGGTACTCTATGATAAAACAGTCTATGTATCCCATTTCTCCATGGGTCTCATATCCTCTGAAATTCAGTTCACCTGGTTGCCTTGTAATCTCAGCTTTCTGATGGTCTCAAGAAAAATTATGATTTTGTAGATTGTTTGAATTTTTATTTTTGCTAGAATGGAATCAACAACATAGAAATATAATGCTTCCTCATTATATTTTGTTGTCACATCAAAGCAGCTAAAATACATATATATACACATATATACATATACATATATGTATATACACATATATACATATACATATATGTATATACACACATATACATATACATATATGTATATACACATATATACATATATACACACATATATACATATATACACATATATACATATATACACATATATACACACATATATACACATATACACATATATACACATATATACATATATACACATATATACACATATATACATATATATACACATATATACATATATATACACATATATATATATGGGTTTTCACTCTATATTGAAGGTAAAATGATAAAACAGTATAAGGAAAAGTAAGTTCATTCATTTTATTTTTTCTTTTTCCAGTTCCTATTTCATCTCAGACACATTTGTTTTCTTTTTGGGATGTCAAATCAAGAATACTCCCAGTTGCAATAATTTCCCTTTAAGGAGGAAAATAAAAACCTTTATGTTTGGGAAGATTTTTTCAAAATTTCCTTGGAAACCACATGATATTATTTTCCAGTCTGACCAAATGAATTGTTGCCTTGCTAACTATGGAAATTTTCCCTGTGCCCCATCCTGCCTGAGACGTTGATACACAATCAAAAGGAATATCAGCCAAAATATGTTGGAAGAGAGTTGTCATTGTCTTATAAATTTCCCAGCCAAAGTGGGAAGAAAAACAATACTGTTTTGACTCATTATCTCACCAATCCCAAATACTATGTAAGCCAGAGCATCTTCCCCTATAACGTCTGGTATATGTTTAAAATCCTGTGTCTCTATTGATATATTCACAGTGGAAAGCAGTGATACAAGGGAAAGATATATATGCGCTTCTATGAGGCATTTTTCTCCTAAAGTCCTGCCTTCAGCCACAAAAATATAGAAGTCCCCCCTATTAGCCCACCCAGAGGCAATCAACTCAAAATACCTTTTACAAATCCTTACTAATACTGGAAATGCCAATTTATCTATTTAAAATAAAATCATGACTAAAAGTCCTTACTTCTATATCTGGTATACTGGAGTTTCTGAATAAATATTGACTATTTTATCTGACATTATTATAATCATTTTTGTTTTTGTTGTTACTCTCATAACAAAAGATACACAGAAGCCAAAACAATGATTTGTTTTTGATGAGGCAAGCTAGAAAAAGTTGGCTGTCCACCCAAGTTCATGCTTCCTCTACAATAATATAGAGTAACTGCTGGGAGGTGTCTGTACAGTCACGAATTATATTGCCCAAACTCCCTGTATCTATGCATGATCACATGCATAATTCTCACCAATATAAGTAGAAGGGATGTATGTTGCTTTTAGGCCTAAGCATTTTAAAAGGCAGGTGCCTCTGCATACCTGCTCTCTCTCTTTTGTCTGGATTAAGATGCATGTTTGGCACACAAGGCCTGGGAAAGTTGCATGGTCAAGAACCTCATTGCTGCACTGTTGCATTAAGGATTGCCACCTAAGACTCTTTTGCAAGAAATAAACCTCTATTGTGTTTGAGCCTTTGCATATTTGGGAGTTTACTTATTACCTTAGCTAATTTTATCCTAACTAATACACTGTGTGTGGACTTCTCCAAAAATAATCTAGTAATCTGCAAACCATTATTGGTTCTTGGTTATTCAAATGTAGAAATTAAAGAATAAGAATTTAGGAAATGTATAACAATTAAACAATATACTTTTATATTTGCCAAGCAACATATTTTTTAAAGTTAAGCTTATATTGTGTATGTCTTTTATTTTTCTATTTTTATTGAATTTTGCAAAATATTGATCTACAATGGATTAGAAATTTTAAAAATAATCTTTTGTTTATTTTAGAAAAACATATTCATTTAATACAGATGGTTTGAATAGGACTTGACTAAAAGATTGCTCTAGTCCCTTACTGAAATAGTGTTCCCTTTCTGTTATACTCTTAGGCACCTGCTTCTAGCTAAGTAAACTATATCAGGATTCTCTCACTGAGACTTTTCAGGCTCACACTCCTCCATTCAAAGAATGAATCATTCTAACCAATTTAGCTTAACGTAAGTACCTTCTTGCAGGGAAGATTTTTGGCTATCAATAACAATTAATTTTAAATTTCATTCAGTTATTAAATTTTTACCTTCATTATTTACAATTGCCACTACTATCTCCTAAAACTGCATTAATTCTTATTAATTATAATAAAAATATCCATCTTTTTAACCATTGCCTGAATTACCTTCACCTAGCTCTTGTCTAACTTACTTGAGTTTCTCCATTTCCTCCAAAGCTCTCTGGCAACTTGCTAGCTATAAAATAAATGAAGTAGCTGCCATGGCCTCCTGTGGATTTCCAGTCCACAATGCTCTGCAGAGCTGTTCACCACAAGTATGTCTTTTCTCGCAGAGATTCTTGATTTAGATTATTTTAAATATTGAAAATAAACTTTTAAAAATTAAATATATTTATATATTTGCAATGTGGTTGATAATGTCTATTATGTAACAGTTATTTCAAAAATGTAACTTTTCCTTTAAACAATGAGGAGTGCACACCCAAGTACTAGGAGTGATAGGAAATGCAATATTTAATCAACAAAGTCTCTTCTCTCAATTCTCTTTTAATGCTAATTACTATGCTATAAGAGAGACAAATGTCCTAATATCCAATTATTTCACATATTGCATTGTAATATGCTTTAACATTTTTTTGCCTTCTTCAATAGGTGCTATTATGTTCCTCAAGTTCAGTGAAATGTTACCTTTTCTCTCTCTCTTTAAAAAATAGATATCTCTCATCTTCAGTTCCTATCATAGTACTTGGCATGTAACAGATATTCAATAAACCTATACTTTTTTAAGTTTTTGACCTGCTCTTTTGGAGACAAGAATCTTCACCTGAATATAGTGATAGTATCTCAAGGCTGGATAGCCATCTCCTCTACCACCTCAGGGCTGATAACTGTAGCCTAATAAAAGTGCCATGGTTTGCAGAGCCCGAGAGCTCTGGCTTCAAATGCTTGCTCTACTCTGCAGTCCTGAGTGAACTTGTTCATGCCGCTCAGCCTGTTTGAGCCTCAGTTCCCTCATCTGCTAAAATATACCCCTAAGGGTTTTATTATAGATACTAAATATAAGGTTTGTAAAGTATTTGGAAATCACTATACCAACAATGCAAAAGGACTATTTTTCATCTAGTCCAATTCCAGTTGTTTTATGCATGCTGCTGAGATCCAACAAAGAAGTATGACTTGTCTAAAACTCACCTGTGAGTTAATTTAGTAAAGATGGCCAAAAACATATTATTATCAGTACCAGCTTTATGGAGCTCTAGTCTCCTCTATAAAGATTAGTTCCCTTAAAGGTAAGACTTTTAAAGGTTGGGCACCTCAAATAGAAGCGTAAAGGAAAATGAAGGGAAATAATTGATTAAAAATATATTTGAGGTTATCAATGAAAAGTCAAAGCCCTTTCTCCTTCCCCAGAAAAGAAACCTCAAAATTGTTTTTCTAAGAATGACCTCCTAATCTGAAATCTTCCTTAGGCACTCCTGGGAAAAAAAATAGTTAATTATTTATGGGATGAAATGGAGAACAGTGTATATTCACGTCAGGTACATTTACACGTCAGAGAATATTTTATTTAATATCAATAAATGTGCAGGCTCATGAAAAAGCATATGCATAGCATGAAAGCACTCTTAAAATTTTCAGCTCAAGTTGTCATCATCCCCCCCACCAATTTTCCATTTACACATTTTTCTAACCCAGCCTCTTGCTCAGATTGCCCATGGTTGAACAGTGTTCCTTTCATCCTTTCTTTTCATTCAAATTTACTTCATGAGGGGATCTGGAAAGTAGTCAAGAGAAGCAAAGACAGCCAGTGTTTTTGTTTTTTTTTTTTTTTTTTGGCATGGCATGGGCTACCAACAAGAGACATTCTGGATTTCATACTCTTAATTTAGAATTTATTAGAATCACAGCAGATGTAACATTGTTGTACCTTGATAACCTCTGCATAGTTTAGAAAGACATGAAGTGTGTTTTTGTTTGTTTTTTGTTTTGTTTTTTAGAATGATGAAGCCAAATGCTTACAGATGCTAAAATAGCAGTATTGGAGAAGCCAGGAGCAATGTTAGGGACAAATCATATAAAAATGTAGAAATGTGTCTGTTTTCATTTTCCAGAAGCAGGAAATGGTGCCACAAGGGAAAGTCTGGTCTGCAGTGAGGTAAAAGAAGAAAAATAATAATATTGATTTGAGGTTATGTTGATGAAAGAAAAATAGTGGAAAGGAAAATATATGAAGGTCAGTGAGACTCACAAGAGGAGGCACTGCTCATAATTTTAATAGGTAAAGCCTGTCATCCTCTGTAGTCAGCTCTGTGATCCTTTCCAATTTTCTTATACATTATATTTCTCTGGTTGTAATCCTTTGCGTTGATATCTAGTAGCCACACACTTGCCTTTTCTGTTTCTCTCTGGACAGAGATACCAACATATGTGCAAGTTTTCCCATTACTACAAGCAGACTTCTTCCTTTAGATGAGGCTCTGTTTCCAGAGCTTCTAGCCAGGTCCATCTCAGGGTTCACCTAATTTTACTTTGGGTGAAGATATCCACTCTGGCTTAGCCTCGGTGATCTCCCTCCCTGAGGAATCCATGTAGTGATGAAAATCCTACTTTCCTTTGTATGTCCCGATATTTTCAGCTACATTTCTGTTAAGTAGAAAGTGCCCAGAGCTTCTTGACAGTGCCATTTTGGTAATACCCAACAACACCTAAAATTGGGCTAAGCACTAATGATACAATCTATAGTAAATGTTAGCCTGCAGGAAGTTTTTCATAAAAGGTAACAATTTAAATTGGTCTGGTGGAAATAAAAATAGGTAAATTCCTGCTGTTAAGGGTTTACAGTTTTCTGCAGGGGAAATGGTAGTTACGTGTCACTTTTCACATTGCAGACACTTATTTTTGTGTACTTGTATAAGGCACAAAGGAGCAGATTTGAGACAGAGGCTTTGCCTGGGAGAAGTTGGGAAATGTTTTATAGACACATTCTCTAAGACTAGTCTCATTTTTGTAAGAAGAACCATTATTTAATTTATTAGGCACTTTCTATATGCCAAGCACACTGTTAAGTATGTTTTATTTTCAATATGGGAAAGATAGTGTTATGTCCTCTAGCATTAGAACAATGATTAATCCTACAATGAGGGGAGGCAGACCAGGGATGGGAACACCGGATTCTACTTTCACAGCTTATGCCCAAATCCGAACCCTGCTGGCTGTGACTCCATGAGGCCCCCATCTGTTGAAGAGGTTACCAGGTAGAAAAGAGAGACAAGGTTCTAGGAACCCTTATTAAGGAGGTATCACCTCACCCACATTCTGAAAAGGGCAGCATGTGGTGTAGAATACACAGTATCAGAAAGGAAGTGCTTTTAAGATGGGCATGAATGGTGAACCAGTTCAATCTGGCTTTGTAGCCATTTGTTGTTAGCCTCCTCAGCACATATTCCCCCTTCATCTTCCTATCACAACCTTAAATTAACCAGACATAATATTTGCATGAAAAAAATCACCCACTATAGTAATGGGAATAGACCCAAATTTCACTGTACCAGTACACATATCCTAATTCCTCAACTATTATGGGAATATTATGTAGCTAAATTTAACCAGGTCAATGAGACTCAACTCTGAGACTTATATATGAGCTATGGGAAAAATAAAAGTTTATATTTCTTATTGAATGTAAATGAGGAGACAAATAGTCTCTGCTATGGGTGATAGCAATTTATGGCCTTGAGGGTAAAGCTTGCCTGAGATGGGGGTTAATAATGTGGTATCAGTCCTAAGAATGGAGAGATAGAAACTGGACATTGGTCATGTCATTTAGGTCATTGGTCAAAACTTACTTCAAGTTTTCATCTGTTTGAGCCAGCATATCCCTTTCATTATTTAAAGTTCAAGTTGGGTTATCTCGCAACTATAAACCTGTCAATTAATACTTCATAAGACTCAATGAAGCTGCAACTTTACAGAAATGGAAGTGGAGATGTTGATTTTCAGTATAAATAAGTGGAGCAAAGACATGCTGGAAAGCATGTAATGACAGAAGCTATGCCTTTTAACAGATGTTGGCAAATGGAGAAAATAATTTTTATTAAATGACTACTAAGTACAAGGAATATGTCAGATATTGTCATGTGTATTATCTTACGTAACTCATTTTAACTCTAATGTTAGTGGTATTGTATCTATTTTACAGGTAAGGGTTTGAGAGTTTAGGCAAGTTGCCTAAGGTCAAACAGCTAAGAAATGATAGCAACATGAGTAAAACTAAAACCTTTCTGACCAGAAAGCTTATGTGTGTTTTGCCATGTAATAAAAATACAATATACAATATAAAGTATAAAACTGTTAGCCAGGTAGCATGGAGTATAGCAATACCAGAATAAAGTTGTAAGGAATAATAATGTAATAATTTTGTAGGTTACCCAAAGCTTTGACATCTGTCTCTTCATATCTTAGAAAATTCACCCCAACTGAGAAGTTAGATTGACGGATATTGATATTCTTCCTGCTAAAGAAATGATCAGAGATGATTGACAGAAAAGGGAGATGTTCCTGGGCATCTGAGGTGGGTGGCTTTGTTACTGAATATAATTCGGTGGCATACAGGAACCCTCGTGATTTCCAGCATCATATCTTGGGATGATCATCTGGCGCAGTGAGGGCATTTCTCAGGACAATTCAGGTGCATCTATTCCTCCTTTGGCAATATTAGTAGAGCATTTATATTTCAATGAAAATAACCCGTTCCTATTGGAAAATGTATGTCTGGGGACTTAAATCATTGTGATACATGTTTGTAAGACTTAAAGTCGAATCTTCAAACAAGTTCTAGCCAGAGTTAATACAAGGTAAAATTGCCGAAATATCAGAAAAACACACTCCTATTAATGTATAACGGTTCATAAGGCCCAGTTAATATGTTATTGTTCCCAAGGATACTGGTGTTTTGATGAGAAACAGTCATTGACCAGGGACCTGAAACACAGTTGCTCACAGTGGCTAAAAGGAAATATATATGAGTGAGACAGACCAGGTGGAGAGTGGTCAATCAGAGAGATGCCAACCTAAACAGAAGAATCAACTGAATGTGGACACTTGAGGACCAGACTTTTTATTTCAAGAGCTTCTGATGTTTCAAAAGAATCCAGAGACCTGTAGTTTTAAATAAACATTTTAAATATTTACATGCTATCAACTAATCCACTAAACAACCTATGAACTCTACCAGCTTCCTGCCTTTAACTTCACCCAAAAATCACGCTTCACCATAGGTATTTTTTGTTTGTTTTTCAGCTAACAGCTTTTGGGTTTCTGCTCTTAATTGATCTTGCCATGCTGCAAACCTTTTTCATATCATAGACAAGGAAAATGAAGGAAATATGGAAAAGCCACTTTTTTGGATTGTCAGAAAAGGCACAAGCTGCAAAGGCAGCTTTATGGCCCCAAAGTCCTAGGTACTTGTGCCCATAGGCAATAAAGCCATAATCACAACAATGCCTAAAATGTAAAGTCTGGAATAAAGAAAGAGCTACAAATTGACATGCAGTGGTTAGTGTCACAATTCAAGGCAGGGCTTTGGAGATAAATAGCAAAGAAAAAAAAAGCCTTCTAGTGCGACACAACAAACACTTTCAAAATATAAGAAGTTGCTCATCATCTGTCATGGGTTGTTTTTACCTATTACTAGCTATTTTTAATGTGTCAAGGAAGATTACCCTATTGATCATGGAAACAGCAGCTATTTCATGAAATTTTCTTGGCCCTGATCACTATCAAATAATTACAGGAAATTACCTCCCATTGATGTTAGAAAGGCTTTTGAGGGTCTATATGCCCATTTAAACTACTTTTGTGTGTCATTGGATTTGTGTGAGGTAATGGATGTGTTTTAATTACATTCGAATTGCAGGGCTTTGTATATAAGGTGCACATTCTTATGCTGAAAGGAAAAGCAATCAGCAATTTTTAATAAGGAAAATCTTCAGCTCTAACTATGCTCTCACTGCATGTCTTACCAAAATGGTTTGAAGATTGTGTGGTCAGCACTTAAAATACGTAGTGTGCCAGTTAGAGGGTAAATATATTTCTCATTTCTTCACAGAAATGGGGTTTCTGGTGGATGGAAGCATTTTGTGAAGTGAGAATGATGGGATAAAGTTTGAACTGTGAAATCATGAGGGCTGGCATAATATTTGAGCACTTTTCATGTGTCATAGAATTCAGAAGAGATGCTGCAAGGCCTAGACTGCCTTTAGAAAACTAAAACTTCCGTAAGAAATTAAGAATTAAGAGCCCACTGCAAGCCTGTCATCATTAGAGACTGGAATGTATAAAGACTCCTACATGTTAAGAGACAAATGCTCTTGCCATGGGACCTGTGGCCTGTACTTAAAGTGGACGGAATGTCTTGAGTAATCAGGAGAATCTCTCAAGGGCAAAAGTGTCAACTCAGGTGGAAGAAGGAAAGACTGGGAAGGAGGTGGGAGGGCACGGGAGTGGTGTGCATGTCCCAGTTTCTGCTGGTTGGTAAGAAAGGATACATCTTCTTACGTGTCAAAGAGAAAGAGCTGGTGTGTGGCAGAGAAACTTCTCTGGCTTTCAGGGGAGAAATTTGCAGATTCTGTTTAAGTGTGCAGTAGATGTTTGTAGAATTACAGGGAAAAGGGAGAACAGAATATGTTTTCATACCCTAGGATAGCAAAGAAAGCACAATTCTATTCATCTTTCTATATCATTTTCAACAATCATTATTTTGGCCTGATCTGCCTACATTAAGGAAAGGGCTGTCCTGGCCTAGGAAGAATACTAGCTCCAGTCAGTTGACTGGATTTAGGACCTCCATTCTAACAGGGGAGAAAATGTAGAAGAGGCAGAATCCCTGGACCATATCAGCTATGAGGGCAAAAAAGAAAGTGGAGATTATCCAGACATCCAAGGAGATATCGTGTCCCAGTGTGAACTGTGTCCATTTGTAACGATGCTGAATTCCAATCCCCAGTGAGCTAAATACTCTTTGCTCTGCCATGACTACATGGCTCCAGAGCTTGATGGAGACTGTGTCACTCTTGGTAGAGTAGTTCAAAGACTTTTGTCATGTTCAGAGACTTAACCATGAGGGCTGGTTAAAATAGATACCAACAGATTGATAGAAATATTTATAAAATTAGAATCACGAAGTGGGAAGCAATATTTAAGTATCTGGCATTGCTCTTTACTACAAGTAAATCTCTGTGCTGGGCATACCTAATAAAAATATATTTACCCAAACACAGATACAGAATTTATGCTTTCTTTACTCCTTCTTCTGCCTAAAGTTTAAGGAGAAAAAAAACAAGAAAAGTATTAATAATCTTAACTGCCTCTCACAAATTTTGATATGTTTTCATTATCATTTAGTTTAGTATAATTTCTAATTTCCCTTGTAGTTTCTTCTTGATCCATGAGCTATTTAGAGGTATGTTATTCATTTTCAGATATTGGGGGCTTTTCTAAATACTTTATTGTTACTAATTTCTAATTTCTTGTGTTGTCAGAGACTATATTCTGTAAAATTTCAATCATTTGTATTTTGTAATTTAATTTAGAGTCTATGTTTGATGAATATTCCAGATACACCTAAAAAGACTTTAAGCCACTGTTGTGTGCAGTAAAATATAAATTCAGTTAGGTAAGGTTAAGGTAGATTTTAATGATTTTCACGTCTTCTATGTTTATATTGATACTTTTGCCTAGATTTTTTCTTCCAAATACTGCACCAAGGTGTTAAAATATCCATCTCTATTTGTAGATTGTCTTTTTCTCCTTTTGGTTTTGTCAATTTCTGTTTCATGCACTTTGAAGCTCTATTATTAAGTACATGCAAATTTATAATGTTTAAATCTTTGTGAATTCAACTTTTTTTTGTAGTTACCTTTATTCATTATGTCTGTTAATACTCCTTGTCGTGAAATCTATTTTGCCTGATATAATCACTCCAGCTTTATTGTGCTGTTTGTATGATATATCTTTTTCTCAATACTTTTACCTTCAAATAATCTCTCTTTATATTCAAAGTCCATCTTTTGGCACTAGTATATGGTCACATCTTGCTTTTTTATCCAATGACTATTTCACGTATATCTGGTAAGCTTATTGATGTTAATTGATTTAGGCTAACCATTTTGCTGTTTCCTATCTATGTCACCTATTTGCTGTTACTGTGTTTTTCCCATTCTACCTTTCTTGAATTATGTAAATATTTTATTAAAATTCCAATTTTCATTTATCTATTAAAATTTTAGTTTCCTCTTTGTTTTTAATGCCTTTTGTAGAGATTTCTCTACACATTCTTGACTTATCTCAGTCTATGTAGAATTCACTTTTTTTTTTTTTTTGAGATGGAGTCTTGCTGTGTCACCCAGGTTGGTGTGTAGTGGTGTGATCTTGGCTCATTGCAACCTCCACCTCCTGGGTTCAAGGATTCTCCAGCCTCAGCCTCTCAAGTAGCTGGGATTACAGGTGCATGTCACATGCCTGGCTAATTTTTGTATTTTTTTAGTAGAGACGGGGTTTCACCATGTTGGCCAGGCTGGTTTTGAACTCCTGACCTTGTGATCTGCCTGCCTCGGCCTCCCAAAGTGCTGGGATTATAGGCATGAGCCACCGCGCCTGGCTAGAATTCACATTTTAACATGTCATACTACATGCAGTAATATATTTCTGTTAAAACACTCTACCTCAAGCAGGCTGTCCTAGGTCACTGCCACCATTGCTGGCACCCATATGCCCCACCCAGGGATTCAAGGACATACCTACCCAGCGTTTCACTACCACCACAAATGCCTGCATATACCACGCAGGAGTTTCAAGACCAGCCCAACTGGTACTACTGTTACCAACAAAGCCTTATAATAGACTCCATGAACAACCTCAGTTTAAGTTACTGAGTCACAGACACCACTGACATTTATTACAACTGAATAAACAATATGGCACCAACACAAAATCAAAGCCAATGTACCCTACTCAGTCCATACTATATAACATCTACAGGAAAATATCTTTCTTTCCAAAAGCTACTCAATACAATTGGAAGAAGTGACCATTACACCATATGCACAGATATATTCTGTCAACATAAAGAGAGAAGAAACATGAAAGAGCAATGAAACACAGCACATTCAAAGGAACATAATAATTCTCCAATAATAGACCCCAAGTGAAAGGAAATCGATGAAATGCCTAAAAATAAATTCAAAATAATAATCTTACGGAAACAGTAAAATACAAGAGAACACAAGTAGAAAATACAAAAGTATCAGGAAAACAATTTATAATCTGAATGAAAAACTCAACAAAGAGATATCATAAAAAGGAACCAAATACAAATCCTGGAACTGAAGAATTCAAAGAATGAAACAAAAAAATACAAAGGAAAGCTTTAACAGTAGATTAGGTCAAGCAGGAAAAAAAGAATGTCTGATTGAAGACAGGTCTTTTGAAACAGCACAGTCAGGTAACAAAAAAACAAAAATAATAAAAAGAATGAAGAATGTCTATGTGACACAAGGGACACATGCCATCAAGTAAACAAATGTTCAAGTTTTGTATGTTCCAGAAGGAGAAGAGATGAGAAAAGGCATAGAAAATCTATTTAATGAAATAATAGCTAAAACTTCCCAAGTCTTTGAAGATTTATGGACATCCAAATCCAAGAAGCTTAAAGATCGCCAAGCAGACTCAATCCCAAAGGTATTCTCTGATGCACATTATAGTCAAACTATCTAAAGATAAAGACAGAAAGATAATTTTTAAAACGGCAAGAAAAAAGCATCAAACTACAGTTAAGAGAATCTCCATGACAATAACAGCAGATTTCTCAGCAAAAACCTTACAGTTCAGGATGTAATGGAATGATATATTCAAGTAATGAAAGAAAAAATAAGTTAATGAAGAATAAAATAACCAGCAAAGATATCCTTCAAAAGGAAAAATAAAGTTTTTCCAAGACAATCAAAATCTGAGAGAATTTATCAACACTAGATTGACCTGCAAGAAATGCTTAAAAGAGTCCTACATCTAACAGTGAGAGGATAATATCTACCATCATGAAAATTCATGAAAATATAAAACTCACTGGTAGAGAAGATATACAAATAAGAAAAAAGGAAGACAAATATTATCACTAAAGCAAATCGCCAAATCGTAAAGATAAAAAAAAGGAACAAAGGAAGAAACAGTGTACAAAACAATCTGAAAACAATTAACAAAAATAAGAGGAGTAAGTCCTTACCTATCAATAACAACCTTGAACGTTAACCATTTATGTTTGCCAATTAAATGTTACAGAATGGCTGAATGGATTAAAAAATATATAAAAGAGAACTCAACTATATTCTGCCTAAAAGAAACTCACTTCACCTGTAACAACACACAGACTGAAAGTGAAATGATAGAAAAAAAAATCATGTAAGCATAAAAATGTAGCTATACTTATGGCAGACAAAATAATCTGTATTAGTCTGCTTTCACACTGCTGATAAAGACATAACTGAGACTGGGTAATTTATAAGGGAAAAGGTTTAATGGACTCACGGTTCCACATTGGTGGGGAGGCCTCACAATCATAATGGGAAGCAAAAGTCACCTCTTAGATGGTGGGAGGCAAAGAGAGAATGAGAAGCAAGCAAAAAGAGAAACCCCTTAAAAAACCATCAGATCTTGTGAGACTTATTCACTACCATGATAATAGTATGGGGGAACCGCCCCCATGATTCAATTATCTCCCACCAGGTCCCTCCCACAACATGTGGGAGTTATGGGAGCTACAATTCAAGATGAGATTTGGGTGGGGGCACGGCCAAACCATAACCTAATCTTAGGCGAAAATCGTAAAAGAGGCAAAGAAAGTCATTATATAATGATACAGGGATCAATTCCACAAGAGAACAAAACAATTATAAATTCATATGCACTAAAAACTACGGCACTCGGATATATAAAGCAAATATTATTAGATTGAAAGGGAGAGATAAACTCAAATAAGATGATAGTTTGGAACTTCAATACCCTATTTCTACTCAGCATTGGGGAGATCATCTAGACAAAAAAAAAAAATCAACAAAGAAACATTGGAATTAATCTGAACTATAGACCACATGGACCTAGTAGACATTTACAGAACATTTGATCCATCAGCTACAGAATACATATTCTTCTTACAGCACATGAAACATTATCCAGGATAGACCTTATGTTGAGACACAAAACAAGTCTCAACAAACATTTAAAAAATAATTTTAAAAAATCTCTTTAGACCACAATGGAACAGAACCAGAAATCAAAAATAAGAGAAACTTTGAAAACTGTAAAAATAAATGGAAATTAAATAACATGATCTTGAACAACTATTGGGTTCATGAAGAAATTGAGAAGAAAATCACCAGAATTTTGAAACAAGCAAAAATGGAGACACGACATACCAAAATGTATAGAATACAGCAAAAGCAGTATGAGGAGAGACATTTATAGCAATAAACACTTCAATCAAAAAGTAGAAAGATTTCAAATAAACAGCCTAATTATGCAGTTCATAAAAACTAGAAAAGCAAGAACAAACCAAGCCCAAAGTTAGTGAAGGAAAAAAATAATAAAGATCATAGCAGAACTAAACATAATAGAGACTAAAAAGGATACAAAGGATCAGCAAAAAAAGCTGGCTTGTTGAAAATATAAGGAAAATAGAAAACCAAGAACTAGATTATCTGACAGAAAAAGAGAAAATCGAAACACCTAAAATCAGAAATGAAAAAGGAGACATAACAGATACCACAGAAATAAAATAGATCTTTAGAGACTAAAGTAAACACCTATATACTAACAAATGGAAAAACCAAAAGCAAATGGATAAATTCATGTATACACACAACCTACCAAGATTCAACTAAGAAAATATTAAAAACCTGAGGCGACAAGTAATGAATAATGAGATTGAATAAGTACTAGTTTCCCACCAAAGAGAAGCCCAGGACCATATGAGTTTATTGCTGAATTCTACCAAAATATAAAGAACTCACACCAATTATTCTCTATTCCAAAAAATGAAGGGTAAGGAAATTCTTTCTAACTCATTCCATGAGGTTAGCATTATTCAGATAGTGAAACCAGATGAGGACATCACCACCACCACCACGACAACAACAAAACTACAGGCCATTATTTCTAATAATTATATATGCAAAAATTCTCAATACAAGACTAGCAAACCAAATCCACAACACATCAAAAAGACAATATGCTATGATAAGTTGAGATTTATCCCAGTGATGCAAAAATAGTTCAATGTACACCAAATCAATAAATATCACCTCAACATAATGAAGGACAAAGAAATATTATATCAATATACACTGAAAAAGCATTTGATAAAATTCAACATTTCTTCATGATGAAAATTCTCAACAAATTAGCATAGAAGGAGAAACATCTCAACATATTAAAGGCCCTATATGACAAACTTATGGGTAGCATTATACAATATGGGGAAAAGCTAAAGTATTTTTCCTCTAGGAAATGGAACAAAACAGCTAGTCTACTTTCATGAACCCTATTCAACATAATACTGCAAGTCCTAGCTAGAGCAATCAGGCAAGAGAAAGAAATAAAAGGTATCCAAATTAGTAAAAAAAAAAAAAAAAAAAAAAAAAAAAAGTCAAGGCTGAGTGTGGTGGCTCATGCTTGCAATCCCAGCATTTTTGGCGGCCAAGGCAGGTGGATAACCCGAGGTTAGGAATTTGAGACCAGTCTGGTCAACAGGGTGAAACCTCATCTCTACTATAAATACAAAAATTAGCCAGGCATCATGGCAGGTGCCTATAATCCCAGCTACTCAGGAGGCTGAGGCACAAGAATCACTTGAACCCAGGGGGCAAAGGTTGCAGTGAGCTGAGATTGTGCCACTGTACTCTCCAGCCTGGGTGACACAGCAAGACTCTGTCTCAAAAAAAGAAAAAGAAAAAGAAACAAAAAAACACACAAGAAAGTCAAGTTGTTTCTCTTTGCAGATGACATGATCTTACTTATTGACAGCAAGACCTAAGACTTCATCAAAAAACACATAGAACTGATAAACAAGTACAGTTACAGGACACAAAATCAATATACACAAATCAATATGATTTCTATATGCCAATAATAAAAATAGCTGAAAAGGAAAACAATATCATTTGTAATAGCTACAAAAACAGATTACATAGCTAGTTATAAATTTAACCAAAGAAGTGAAAAATTTCTACTATGAAAACTACAACACAACACACTGATAATTGAAGTTAAGGAAGAGACAAATAGACATTCCATGTTCATGAATTGAAGGAATTAATATTGTTAAAATAACCATACTGCCTAAAGCAATCTTCAAATTAAATGCAATCCCTATCAAAATACCAATGACATTCTCTACTGAAATTAAACACAAAATTCTGAAATTCGTGTGGGACTACAAAAGACCCCAAATAGCCAAAGAAATCCTGAACAAAAAGAACATAGCTCAAAGCATTACACTATTTGATTTCAAAATGTACTATAAAGCTATCGTAACCCAAACAGCATGGTGTTGATATAAAAACAGAAACATAGACCAATGTAACAGACTAGAGAACCAAGAAATAAATCCATGTATTTATAGCCAACTGATTTTCAATAAGGTACCAGGAACATAGTGAGGGGAAAGGACATTGTCTTCAATAAATCATGCTTGGAAACTGGCTATCTATATGCAAAAAAAAAAAAAAAAGAAAAAAAAAAAGAAAAGAAAAAAGAAACTGGACCCCTATTTCTTACCATATACAAAAACCAACCAGTGTGGATTAAAAACAAATGTAAGACCCCAAACTGTAAAACCACTATGAAAAAAAATACAGGGGAAATGCTTTAGGACATAGGTTTAGACAAAGATGTTTATGGCAAAGACTTCAAAAGCACAGGGAAAAAAAATAGGCAAATGAAACTATATCAAACTAAAAAGCTTCTGCACAGCAAAAAAACAAAACAAAACAAACAAAAAACCAGTGAACAGGATGAAGAGACAACCTGTAAAACAGGGGAAAACTGCATTTGAATGATAAGTAACTAACATACAAAATATACAAGAAGGCTGGGCATGGTGACTCACACCTTTAATCCCGGTACTCTAGGAGGCCAAGGTAAGCAGGTCACTTGAGTTCAGGAGTTCAAGACCAGCCTGGGCAACATGGTGAAACCCCCTCTCTATAAAAAATACAAAAGAAGACAATAACCAAGTGTGGTGTAAGCACCTGTAGTGCCAGCTACTTGGGGGGCTGAGGGAGGATGATCACTTGAGCTGAAGAGGTTGAGGCTGTGGTGAGACAAGATTGTGCCACTGCACTCCAGCCTGGGAGACAGAGCAAATATATACACATATATGAAGCTCAAAAACTCAACAGCAAAATAATAATAATAATTTGAGTTAAAAATGAGCAAAACACCTGACTAGGCATTTCATAGAAGAGGATTTAGAAATGGCCAAAAGGTATATGCAAAAATTATCAGTATCACTAATTATCAGCGAAATGTAAATTCAAACCACAGTGAGATATTACCTCTAGTTATAATGGCTGTCATCAAAAAGGCAATATATAAAAAATGCTGGTGAGGATACAGAGAAAAGAGAACTCTTATACACTGTTGGTAGGAATAAAAATTAGTATGGCCATTATGGAAAAGTATAAAGGTTTTTCAAAAAGCTAAAAATAGAACTACCATAAATTCCTGCAATCCCACTACTAGGTGTTTATCCAAAATCAGTATATCTAGGACACACCTGCGACCCCATGCTTATTGCAGTTCTATTCACAATACCCAAGATATTTAATCAACCTAAGTTTATATCAACAAATGAATGGATTTTAAAAATGTGATATATATGGAATACTATTCAGCCATAAAAAAGAATTAAATCCATCATTCATCTTAATAGGGATGAGCCTGGAGGACATTATGTTAAGTTAAATAAGTCAGGCATAAAAAATTAAATGCTATGTTTTCTCACTCATATGTGGAAACTAAAAAAAAATGATCTCATAGAGGTAGAGAGTAGAATTGTGATTGTTAGAGGCTTAGGTAGAGTAGAGAAGAGAGAAGGATAAAGAGAGCTGGGTTTACAAACACAAAGTTACAGCTAGATGGGAAGAATAAGTTCTAGTGTTCTCTAGCACTGTGGAATGAATAAGGTTAGCATTAATTTTGTGTATATTTTTTTTAAAGCTAGAAGAAAGGACTTCAAATATTCACAACACAAAGAAATGATGGCTCTTTGAGGTGACTGATAATGCTAATCACCCTGGTTTGATCATTTTGCACTGTATACATGTATTGAAATATAACTGTAACCTATAATGTGTGCAATTATTATATCAACTACAAAATAAAAGGAAAAAGACTCTACCTCATACATTGTGCTATTGTCATCATACATATCACATCCTAATACACTATAAACCTTACAATACAGGCTTATAATGCTTGCTTTGAAAGGTTTATAAACTCAACATCCCTGATCATCAGAGAAATGCAAATTAAAAACCACAATGAGATAGCATCTCACGCCAGTCAGAATGGCAATTATTAAAAAGTCAAGAAACACTTTTGTTGGGAACATAAATTAGTTCAACCATTGTGGAAGACAGTGTGGAGATTCCTCAAAGATTTAGAACTGGAAATACCATTTGACCCAGCAATCTCATTACTGGCTATATACCCAAAGGAATATAAATCATTCTGTTATAAAGATACATGCACGCGTATGTTAACTGCAGCACTATTCACAATAGCAAAGACATCAAATGTCCATCAAATGTCCTATCAAATGTCCATCAATGATAGACTGGATAAATAAAATGTGGTACATGTACAATGGAATACTACACAGCCATAAAAAAGGAATGAGATCATGTTCTTTGCAGGGACATGGATAAAGCTGGAAGTCCTTACCCTAAGTAAACTAATGCAGGAATAGAAAACCAAACACTGCATGTTCTCACTTATAAGTGGGAGCTGAAAAATGGACACAGGATACATGGACACAGGGACGGGAATAACACTTACTGTGGCCTGTTGGGGGAGTGTGTCAGGGGAGACCATTAATGTATGCTGGGCTTAATACCTAGCTGACAGGTTGATGGGTGCAACAAACCACCATGGCACACATTTACCTATGTAACAAACCTGCACATTCTGCACGTGTATCCCAGAACTTAAAAGAAAAATAATAATTATTTTTAAAAAGTTCTTTGATGTTTAATGAAATTAAGACAACAAAATTATATAACCTTTTAATTTAACCTATATATTTAACATTTCTATTACTTTTCATTTATTCAGAGATACCATTTGTACCAAATGTACAGCTTAGACCAGATGTAATCTTGGAATAAGTGAAATCTTAGAATAATTTTCGACTCAAACATTTTATCATTTCTCATAGTGTAAGTCTACTAGTAATAGTTTATCTCATTTTTAATCTATCTGCAATGTCTTTATTTTATCTTCCCTTTTGAAGGATTTTTTTTTCTGACTAAAGAATTCTGGGCTGATTTTTTTACCCCCGCACTTCAAGGATGCAATTACCTTGTCTTCTTGCCTCCCGTGTTTCTGATGAGAATCCTTATTATGGTCACTGTGAAAGAAATTTGATTTTCTCTTTATTTATTTTTTTAGTTATTAGAGTATGTATTATGGAGTATGATATGCCTTGGTATAACTTTCTTTGGATTCATTTTACTTAGAATAAAAAGCTTCTTGGATCTGTAAGTTAATGTTTTTCAACAAATTTGGGCCACAGAGCTTTCTTAACCTTTTGGACAAATTTACAATGTTTTCAGTAATTATTCATTCATATATTTTTTTTTCTGTCCCATTGTCTTTCCTCTTCTTTTGAAACTCAGAAGAATGTATATGACTGCTTAATATTGTTCCATAAGTCAGTCTTTTTTTCTTTGTTCTTTTAAAACGGAATAATTTTATGTATCTTCACTTTTATCTATTTTTGCCCTCTTGCCATCTCTGGTATGACTTAGAGTCCATCTGGTGAGGTTATCTTTGAATACTGACCTTTTAAGTTTGAAAATTTCTATATGATTCCTAAAAAAACATATACTTTATATTTCCCTATTAATATTTTTTATCTGCTCATTTATTAACATATTTTTCTTTTAGTATTTAAATATATTTATAATGACCACTTTAGAGTATTTGTCTGCTAATTCAGGCACTTATTCTCCTCAGGTGAGCTTTGATAGGCTATTTTTTCTCTTGACTATGGGCGACGCATGGTCACGTTTCTTTGTTTCTTTGCATGTATTTGTATTTTATACTACATATTGTCAAAGATACTTTATAAAGATTCTGAATTTTTCCAAATTTCCCCTGAAGATTGTTGAGTTTTTTTCCTAGCAGGTACTGGACCAAGCTGGACTCAACTCCAAATTATGGTAAGAAGTTGCTGACATTTCTGTTTGGTTTTTCAGCTTTCCAGCTCTTACTTTTCTTTTGCCCCCATGGAGCTTCTTTTACACTTCAGCAGTTTTTCAGTGGCTAATTAAGCAAGCCATTTGATCAGATGGCTTGATCTGAATTTATATATAGATTTTGGACCTCGCTTTCACCTGCTGGGTTCTTCCTTTGAAAAATTTCCTCTCTCACTTGCCAGCTTCTCTGGCAATGCCATATTCCATCCCCTGAGTCCTCAAGTCGGTAATGCCACATGATAATAAATGATAATTAATGATAATAAATGAGCAGAAAGGACTTTTGTCTTTCCCTGAACATATTCAGTTTGGCAAGCTTAGTTCTTTGCTGACATCTTTCCACTGGTGTTAGTTCTATCCGAACTACACCTTTCCACTCGGATTATCATTTGTATGGCTTCTTTTTGACTTTTTTTTGTCTCGGATTAGAAGTTACATGCTCTGAGAAGACTTTCCTAACCATCCAATCTTATGTAACCTCATCCACACAAATTCATTTATTTTATATCACTTTATTGTATTTTCTTCATATTAAGTATCGACACATAAAAGTATCTCACTTGTTTGTTAACATGGTTATTGTATTTTATTTCACCTAGAAAATAAGCTCTATTAAAACAGGGACACTTTGTTCGCTTCCTTTATAACTCTGGTGCTTACCATCACACCTAGCACAGAGCTGACAGTACATACTTTACTGAAAAAAATGAGTATATAAATCACAGGAAAATGTTGGAAATAGTAAGGGGAATGAGATGAACAAGGGTCTTCTGCAGAAGCATGAGTCCTACCTCCCATATACTATGTTCACTTTTAAAGTATGAGTGCTTAATCACAGTAACAATATACTGAGTCATTACACATAATCATCACCCTACCTCAGTACCACGTGGGTAGGCAGCCACCTGAATGTATCAGACTAAAGCATCTGCTTCTTGGTTGGCAGGTTTTGTTTCCTTCCCAGAAGTTTCCCTCCTCACAGTAATTGACCCGTCAGCACTTTGCCTGCACAGCTGCAGGTTAAAAGGGTGACAGTCTAGCAAGCAGCTGGCTGCAGTACTCTAGTTTGCAAGATTCCTGCTGCATTGTGTCAGAAAGGAAAAGATTCTAACTTGAAAAGCAAGAACATGCAGAGGTTGAAGATCTGTAACAAATAAACATATTTTTTAAAAAGCAAATGGAGAAAAAAGTGATTAGGTAACACCAAACAGGACCTTCGAATCTCAATGCAATGTGTCTTCTCCTGTTTGGGTCTTCCTCAGCTTGTAGTATTACATCTTGAGCAGACCTACACTTTCTTTCAACTATTTGCATATTTTTTGTGCCTGTGCCCAGGAGACCATTTGGTGCAAACTGTCCATCTGCCTTTGTTTTCTCAGATTTTAACACCATTCACCTTGCATCCCTTATGATTGTATTTGTGCCAGGATGAAGATTATTTATAAGCCTAGAGCTTATGTGAACTCTTCTGCAGTAGATCTCTATGCTCTCTAATGAGAGAAATGCTTTGCCTTTGTTCAATTCAAGAGCTGAGTTTTTCTACTGCAAATAGGCATCTGCAGGAACATAGAAAACTATGCGGCAAGAGATAGTCACTGCCGCATAAGAGAATTTAAGAGTGACATATATCCCACTGAAAGCCAACTAGGTCTGAAATGCCTGCCACTCAGCTTGGCAGACTGGAGAGCCATGACTACTAACTATTGTGAGGTCAGGCCAGTAACTATGTATTGATTATTTACTACATGATCAGAGAAAGATTAATGGAGTGTGAGCAATCTCTTCAACCCTTCATTATCCATCAATATTGGCAATAATCAAGAATTTTGGACTGCCTAGTGCTGTCAGGAGGGTTATTGTTTCATTGTAGAGATAAAGGACACATGAATATGGAAGAATGAATAGGAGAAGCAGTACTTGATTTAGCAACAATGTGTGTCCTTTGGATGGTGTACATAAACTGTGAACAGACAGTTCCTCCTCTTTACTTTGACTATTTTGCTTTTTGACCCTAATTCATCCAACATGGTATAGGTATTAAAGTGATGTACAGAGAGTTGAAAATCTTTTTAGTAAGGAGAAGTGTAGAAATGAATAGCTCTGGAGCCATATTGCCCAGATTGGCATTTTGGTTCCACTGTGTGTTGGCTGTATAACTTTACCTATATTTCTTTCTTAAGGAAACATTTCATCATTCATAAAGTTAGGATAATAATATTACTGTTTTCATAAGTATTTATAGCATAAGGTTGTGAAGATGAAAGGATTTAATATGTATAAAGCAATGAGAGCAACAAAGACACCCAGTAACTTCAAAATTATTCCTATTATTATTACTGTTATGATATGTTCCAGTTATACCATCTCACATCAGAATTAGGCTCTACATCACTATCCATTTCTGGAGACAAAGAAGCAAAGGCACAGAATAATTCGGCAACTTGCCCATGTTTGCACAGCTAGGAATTGGCAGAGCCAGAATCCAAACCCCAGACAGTCTGGTATGGAAAGTGGCTTTAAGTAACTCCTCTGATATAATAGCAAATGCACAGAAGTACAAAGCCATAAATCCTGTGATGTAACAGCCATGATTCCTGACCAGTGGGCTGACTCCCTTGTTGAGAGAGTAACAGAGTTCCAAAGTACTGAATTCTCTGCTTTTATTTCTGAAAGTAGCGACTACCAAACTGTATGGCTAGAATTCCTCTCTGGCTTTAAAATCCATGTTATTTATATTTTATTGTATTATTTTATATTTGCTTCTAGAGAGGTACTTTTTAAAATTTCCATATGAATTACCATTGTGTGGCTTGCAATTTCCCTTGACTGTGACTTTTTTTCCTCTGCACATTCTAAGGACAATGTAGAAAAGGGGTAAACAATTCCTTATCTCAAACTCAGCAATTAAAAATAGCCCATTCACCAAGTAGAAAAAGGAAAAACAGATCTCTCTTTTTAGGCACGTTTTCAGGCAGGTATGGTTTTAGGCCTATAATTATTTACTCTATTTAAGCCCAGGTATGGTTCTAGGCCTATAATTATATACTCTATTTTAAAAGTGCTATGAATCATTCCACTTGCTATACAAACATATATATACTGCTATTCCTACTAGAAATGCATATGGCTTCTGTTTTTAGTAGTTATTTTTTCATAGCTTTTAAAATCAGCATTCAACTAGTGTATGAGAAAATTAAGAACCCTTTTTTGTCTTTTTCTCTGGTAATATACAAGTTGTTAGAGTTATCGCTTCTGATTTGTATTAGTCTGATACATAGTATATTTAGTAGGGGAACATTTTATTCTCCGTAAGTGGTCCAAAACTTATTTAAAAAGTTAATATATTTGTAGTGACTGCTATTCATGTGAGTTCTTTTGGGGATGAGAAGAATTCACTGGTAGATGATTGTGCAGGTTAAAATTGTATGCTATTCTTTCACTTATATCTGATGTCTTTACAAAAGTATTAAAATTAGGACAGTTCATCAGTTGGTCTATGCAGCAACTTCTCTGACTCATTATATTAGATTTTTTTTAGCAACTGTTCCATGACAAGTGTGCAGCTAAGAACTAGTTTACAGGCTTCAGAGTTTTCACGCACAGCCCATTAGTAAACCAGGTTGAGTTTTCTTGCTGATGGACAAATATTTTATTATTGTAAAGATTGAAACCACTTCATCTCTCCTTACTCTCACTCTGTCTTCTACCTCAGCAATGTTCAGGTCAGTTTAATTGAGGTGTAGGTGGTAGTAAAAGTGTATTAGTCTATTTTCATGCTGCTGATAAAAAGACATACCCTAGACTGGGTAATTTATAAAGAAAAAGAGGTTTAATGGACTCACAGTTCCATGTGGCTGGGAAGGTCTCACAATCATGGCAGACGATGAAGGAAGAACAAAGGCATGTCTTACATGGTGGCAGGCAAAAAGAGAGAGCTTGTGCTGGGGAACTCCTCTTCATAAAACCACCAGATCTTGTAAGATTTATTCACTACCACAAGAACAGCACAGGAAAGACCTACTCCCATGATTCAGTTATCTCCTACCAGATCCCTCCCACAACATATGGGAATTGCGGTAGCTACAATTCAAGATGAGATTTGAGTGGGGACACAGCCAAACCATATAAAAAAGCCAATATAAAAAAGAGTGCTGAATATCAAACAACTCTATCAATGTACTTTTGTCCCTTTTTCTTAAAAAAGCTATGCTTTATCTCTTTAAAAATGAACATATTTATATTTAATTTAATTACAAGCATATAACATGGTTGTTTCCATAAGTCAAGTAATAAAAAGATCAATAAAATAACCTACTCACAAGCCTAGACACCTCAGATTTTTAAAAAGTGATTATTTGATATATATTTTAAGACAATGTTGCACACTTATACATGTATATACATATGAGTTTAATTTTAAGCAAACTCCAAGTTTCTTTTTTAAAAGCAGATTTATTGAAAATGTCTAAAAATTATTTTATAACTACATAATATTCCATAATATGAACATACTATATTTTGTCCCCCATGATGAATTTCAATTTATTTTGCATATCTAAAAAATACGCTTTTTGATATACTTGTCCTTAAGCACATAGAATAGGTTCTTAAAATTGAAAATTGTTAAGTCAAAGAGTATATTTAGTTTAAACAGGTAAGGCCAGATTTTTTTCCCCAAATTCTGTAAAAATTCATATTCCCAATAGCAATATATAAAACTATTTATTTCCATAAATCCACTTCAGCAAGGGACTTAATTTTCTTTTTAACTTTTGCCAATCTGATGAATGAAAAATGATATTCAATTGCCATAATTTTCATTTTCCTGATTGCTAGTGAGGTAGACCATCTGTTCATATTTATTGACCAATTGTATTTCCTCTACTACAAAATGCCTGTTTATATATTTTTTTCCTTTTTTTTTTTTTTTTTTTTTTTTTTTGAGGTGGAGTCTTGCTCTGTCGCCCAGGCTGGAATGCAGTGGCATGATCTCAGTTCACGGCAACCACTGCCTTCCAGGTTCAAGCGATTCTCCCACCTCAGCCTTCCAAGTAGCTGGGATTACAGGCGCCTGCCACCACGCCTGGCTAATTTTTGTATTTTTAGTAGAGACGGGGTTTCGCCATGTTGGCCAGGCTGGTCTCAAACTCCTGACCTCAGGTGATCCACCTACCTCGGCCTCCCAAAGTGCTGGGATTACAGACGTGAGCCACTGCTCCTGGCACTGTTTATATTCTTTATTCATTTTTTTCCCTATTGGCTTATTTTTTAACCAAGTTAGAGTAACTCTTTTTCAATGAGACATATTAACCCTTGGCTTGATTGTGTTGAACATATTCTTCCAGTTTAACCTTCAAGAGTCACTCTTTCACATTTGCTATGCACAGACACTTTAATTTTTATGCAGGAAAGTGCATCCTATGACCTCCATCTGTATAGTCTCCCTTAGTGATCTCATCTAGGCTTTGAATGTCATCAGTACACAGATGTTTTCAAAGTGTATCTCCTTAGCCCTGGCCTCCCCCTTGAGTTCTAGACAGTATATATAACTGCCTGTTCCACATCTTCATTTTGAGATCAATACACACTTCAAACTTCACACGTCCAGAAGAGAGATCTCCATGCAATGCCTCATACCTCTGCTAGTCTTACATCTCTCTCTCCATCTTAGCAGATTGCAGGCACCCTGATCCACTCAATTGCTTAAGCTAAAATCTTTAGGGAATACCCTTCTTTCCTTTCTTTCATTAGTATCCTTTATTTAATTCTTTAGCCAGCTACACTAATTCCAAAATATGTTCCATATGGGTGTTTTTCTCAATATATGTTAACATTCTAGCCCCAAACACTACCAGTTGTTACCTGAGTTTGTTTGATATTAAATAAAACTGGCTTCCCTTTATCCATTTTTGTCCCATAGTATCCACTGAGAAGACAGTAGCTTAATATTATGAGATTTTTACGATGAAATCATAACTATTTATTTTGGGCTGAAAACTCTCTGATACCTTCTTACTGCAATTAAAATAAAATTCACACCCTTTCCCAAACTGACTAGAGCATAAACAATATGGCCCTTGTCTACCAAAGCTTTCTCCTCACACACTGTATTCTTGCTCACCATACTGAATGACTTTCAATGCCTTAACATACTATATTCATTGTATTTGCAGCAACTTTAAGCTTGCCCATTTCCCCTTTCTGAATGCATCCTCATTGCCAGGCCTTACAGAGTAAAGAACAAATCACAATAACCTTTTAAATCTCTAACTTTAGCTATCTAATTCTCAAGAGAAGCACCTGATACTTTATTCCTTAGAGTTTAATGCTTATGGCTACTCAGCTATTCTCTGTCTTTTGGGCCTGCAACCACTTTTCTAGTGACTCCACCTTTGACTCTTCCTCTACACTACATCACCTGCTTTTTATCACTCATGTCCATTCCATTCTTTCCACATGCCTCTTCTTCTGTGCATGTACCTTGTATGGTTCACATTTAAACTCTGTAAGAAGGATAAGGCATAATTAATTTAGCCAGTTACCATAGAGTGTGAAGTGTCACTGCTAAGCAGACCCCTTGTTCTGAACCATATCGTAGTCCATTGGTCTGTTTTGGGTCAGATCTCCATTCTTAATCCCCTTGGTCTGGGTAGTGGAAGATGATAAAATGGAGCACTGAAACACATTTATAAAGGAACATCAAGAAGAGGGCTGCTGGCTGGGAGTGCCTTCTGAGGATCCTCGAGTTTTTGTTAATGTACCATATAAATTAATGAATGCTGGAGTAGGGGGTTACTGACTAAATTGCCTTCTGTCTAGTTATAAGTATAGCCAAAAAAATCTAATTATTCTTTAGAAATTCATTCTTGATTTCTTTCATTTCTCCTTATCTCATTTTGGGTCTTTGTAAATGATTCCATCTGTATTGTAGAAGACATGGTTATAGATATTTTATAATTTACAATGACCACAAACACTCAATGACGATGAGTTTTAAACTAAAAGCTACGCTAAACAGATTCTTTGGTCTTCCTAGGAAATGCCTATTTCTAATTATTTGTGTTTTTCTGTGAGGGGATAGATCCTGCCTGGAAGCAGACCATGGTGGTATTTACTACCTTGTTTAAAAGACTTTGTTTTTAACTTGAGTAGTTTTCTCTTTAAGCTTGGAAGGAGATTGTTTATCCATTCATATATTCCTCACCACAGCTGCAAATAATGCTTCACATAGTAGGTCCTCAGGCAACATTTATAAAAAGAAAAAGTGAATAGGCAATATTTTTCTAGAAAAATTATTAAATCAAAAATGAATTGATGTTATGGAATCCTGTTTCAAAGAAGTGTCAAATTATGGGAAGTTATTTGTGAATCAATCAGGGTGCACTCAGAAGAGTATCATATGGAAAGACACATTAATTTCTATATTCTTCCCACAAAAGATATGCTAAAAACCAAACAAATTTGTCTTACTGCACATTGAGACATGATAACGTATTGCCATGTATACTTTCAAGCCCTTATAATTATTTACATTTTAAAGAAAGTTTGTTTCATCATATATATCATAATGATCAATAGAATTATTAACAGGAAAAACTAAGTACTACATCAGTTCATGGTCGTCAGAGCTTTGAAAAATGCTAATTTTTAAGGCTGATTTTATTTTGTGTTATTTCTCTTATCAAAAACACTACATACAGCTAGAGAGGAGATATAAGAAATAGAGTGATATAATGTTTTACAGAATGTGCTTCAAAATGGTAACTGTTGAGTTCTATCAACCAGGCAGTGAACACTTGATGTGGAGTTCTTTGGCACTTTATGCTTTCTCTTTCATATGTTTTATGCTACTGGGTTTTAATAAAGTCCAACATGGATTTATCCATCCAGTGCTACTCAGCTTGAAGTCCCAGGTAATTATCCCACCTTCCTTTACTTCCTGCCTGCCAAAGTCAGATATAATGAAAACAAAGGTTATAAAGGATTCATAGCTCAAATACCTTTGTACTATTTTATCTGATACTTATTCGGGAACATTGCATGCTTATAGGCACCATCTCCATATTTAGCTGAGCACACTCCCTTTTTAGTTGCATCTGATTTATCTTTCCCCTTCTCTTTTAATAATATTGGTTTTTAAATTTTCCCATAAAATGTATAGTTACAATCCCATTTTAAAAGAATCACATAATGCTTGCTTAGGAAGAGCAGTTTAACATGCATAGTTAAATATTTTGAAAACCATGTTTTGAGTTACAACCTCATTTCTAAAATATGACAGGAAACCTCATACCCATTTCTTGTTAAAATCACATAGGACAATTGTTAAGAACTTAAAATGTGCAAGATAGTATATTAAGTGCTAAAGAAAATACAGTAGTTTTTCCATAATTGGTTATTAGTTGGTTATTAATAATGGAGTAGAAACTGATTCACATTATGATAAAATCACAGATGTTTTATGTTTTCTAGGTAACATTAAAACATGTCTCTGAACTGGTTTAATTTCCTTACACATCTGCAAGGAAGAGAGACATATTTAATTAGTAACTATCTAGACTAAAAATTAGGTAAAGAATTAAGATGCATCTTTAAATGCAAGAATTACTGTGTGTTTTTAAGCACTTTAAAAAATTCTTACATTGTTGAGTATGCAAGGAATGAAACTAATGATACAAATTTTATTAAATTCAAATCCTAGCTTGAAACTGGAATCCTTGTGACCCCTTTTGTATAAATTACCACCCTGAAATGTTAAAAATTTCCTAGTGTTAAACTAGATCACATGATATGCACTACAAGTTCTGATTCTTATATTACCCACTGGAAGTTGGAAATACGGTTTCACATTTTTGCCTTAAAATTATATAAAGTGAATTCAATGCTTAGTTGTTACTTGTGGGTATTTTTCATGAGCTTAAAACAATAATTGCACTTTCGTATTTCCAAAAAGAAATTTTTAAAATGTAATCCAGAAGAGCAACAGTCTGAAATATTTTTAAGACCTTTAAGATTGATATTTGCCACTTTGAAAAAAAAAGTACATTCTTCAAAGTTACTCAGTGACATTGCAGATATGTTTTGCCCAGTTAATCTCTTTCCCATCAAAGATTGTGGGCTTTTTACAAGTACTTTTCTGATTCATTCTTCAATCACAAGGACTACAAAAATCTCCATCTGCCACTTTGCTATTTTTGGATCAGTTCAGATATAATAAAGAATGTGGTTACTTGCTTTGACCAAGTAGTTAGGATGTATACTCTATTTTTCTAATAAAAATGATATGTCCTATTGATAGTGAAAAATTTGGTGACAAAAATATATATATGACATCTTGAATTTTTAAACACAAGTGCACTCTATTTAAAATAACCAGTAAAATAGGAATGTATTCTATGAGCAACAGCTGGTGGGGGAAAGATTTTAAAAAGCACAATCTTTGTAGTCAATCACAACAGGGTCTGAACAAGACACCTAAACCCCACTTTCCTTATGAGTTGGCTAATGTGACAACTTTTGCTTCAGTTTGCAGTAGTATCAAAAGAGAGAACAGCTAAGATCAAAGTCCCTGAGTGTTGCCAGTCATTGGACACACAGAGTACAACATTCATGGTTTCAAGTAAAGGTCTGAAACTCTAATATAAGAGCACAGGATATAAGACAGAGGAGTGTTACCACCCACGTAGAACTCAAGAGTATGTACCCCCTTAGTGAGCCCCCTTAGTGAATTTATATGTGTTATTTTTTATTCACTTGTCTAATATAAGAGGTTTGCTGGTTAAAGATTTTGAGAACCCTACCCTGAGCCCCGGGAGGAGCTTCTGTGTTTCCCCAGTATTCATATGTAGGACTCTCACGTAATTTTCTCAGAACTTAGCTCAGGCTTGCCAACAGCCAATCCTTAATCATGTTCTGGATCTGAATTTACTTCCCCCTCAGGTATTTTTCTTCTGTAATCTCATCTTGCTTCCTTATAGTCAATGTCTCTTGTTTGACTAATTAATCTGTGAGCATATCAACTTATTTAAAATCTCCAATTGAAAATAAACATGAAAGGTTCATAAAAGGACAAATGGAGACACTGAACCTCATCAAAATTAAATATTTGGCTTTGTGAAAGACTGTTCAGAAGAAAAGAAAAGCTACAGACTAGGGAAGATATTTGCAAATCACATATTTAAAAAAGAACTATGATCTGGAATATATAAAGAATTTTCAAAACTCAACAATAAAATAACAATCAAATTAGAAAATGGGTATGGCTATAAACCATAAAGTGACATAAAGGATAATCTTAAGATAATTAAAGTCAATAAAGATGATCCTACAAGATGAAAACAATTTGAAAGTATACAATAAAGACAGAAAATAATTTAATTTCATGGTAATTTATCTGCTAGAGTGGAGAACACTTCGAATTGATTAAATCATTCAAATTTATTTTAAAACTTGAAAGTATAGAAATTACAATTAAAAATGACTCCCTGTGTTCCAGGGAAGGTAATGAAATTCAAAATTCAAAGCTTAAGATAGATTTCCTCAATCATCTAGATACATCAAACTGGTAGAAATTAGAAACATTAAGCTATTCTCCTCTTTCTCAACAGAAGTATACAATAGAAAAATAGAACAAAGTATACAACAGAAGACAATAGAACAATGTTAACCAACACAGTTCTAAAACAGAGAAAGTGTGACTCAAAAAGATTATTCCCAGCTTTACTCAAACAACATCTAACCTTAGACATCCTCTGTCCCTCTTTCACCTTCTTTGCCAGGGTATTTCTCACCACATGGTGTGGAATACCTATGAGCCTACAAGGAAATCACAACTTTTACAGAAAACTCAGAAATGTGAGAAAGATGCATGCTCACCCCATGCATGCTGACCCTCATCAGATGGGTGATGGGAGCTAATGTATAAATCCAAATGCCTTTTATCCTTGAGGTGAACAATTCTGAAATACATCCTAATTAGCTCTATAGAAATTCCCATCTGGACCAAGTCCCAGCTACCTACAGCAGTAATTAACTCAATAACTCTCTTCTGTTTTATTATTAATTTTGAGATGGAATCTCACTCTGTCACCCAGGCTGGAGTGCAGTGGCATGATCTTGACTCACTGCAAACTCCATCTCCTGGGTTCAAGTGATTCTCCTGCCTCAGCCTCCTGCGTAGCTGGGATTACAGGCACCCGCCACCATGCCCAGCTAATTTTAGTATTTTTAGTAAAGATGGGGTTTCGCCATGTTGGCCAGGCTGGTCTTGAACTGCTGACCTGATGTAATCTGCCTGCCTTGGCCTCCCAAAGTGCTAGGATTACAGTCGTGAGCCACCACTCCTGGCCCCTCTTCTGTTTTGGTCTTTGTGGCCCTACATTCTCAATCTGATCACTATTCAAAATAAACTGCCCCATGAAAGTCTTTTGCCCCAGTTCTGATTTCCAGAGGAAACATAGGCTAATAACATTTGATCCAGTAAAGTATCAAATTAGGCAGAAAACAGACCCACAGAATGAAATTTTGGAACTGCATTGAAGAGTGAAATATTGATAAGTACTCTGTTGCTGATACAGTGTGGGTTGATGTTAATCCCTGACATTCTGTAGCTTCCCAATTATTGAGAGGTAGATTGGGATGAAGTACAAATGAAAGTAAAGCATTGGCTTATGTGGCAGCTGTGGGACTTGAGCATTATAGGGTCAGCAATAAGTAGATAAATTATGGAATCACCTGCTTTAATGCTCTGAAAACCTTACGAAAATAAAATGACAGGCTTAGTTCAACCAATAATCAATTCAAAGTATGCTATGAAATTGAGAAGGCTGCATTAGCAGAGTTTGAAGAAACACTTATCACCTGCAGCCATAGGGTTCATTGCTGAAAAGCAGCCTCAAGATTTAATTATAAGGTAGTAGAACCTCACATGAGATTAAATATGGGACTGAGTGTTCAGGAAAATAGTGGGACCCTGACATTTGGATAGATAAAATCTAATATTTTTGAATTCCCAACCCTAGACTTCCACAGACTCCCTGGTTCTTGAAAATGTTGAACTGGGGATGTGTGGCATATGAATTTGGATAAAAAAGAATGTATTAACATGTGAGTGCTACTCTATGATGGAAAGTGTTGTGTTATGGCAAGGACATGTGGAACATTTCTTAATTGTATTAACTATTACTGCATTATAAAGTATCACACACTTAGTAGCTTATGAAACACATATTTATTATCTTAGTTTCTGTGGATCAGTAGCCTAGGCATAGCTTAGCTGGTTCCTCTGCTTCTGGTCCTCACAAGGTTGCAATCAAGGTGTTAACTTGGAAGGTTTTTTTTCCATAGGTTATTGGGGAACAGGTGGTGTTTGGTTACAGGGGTAAGTTCTTTAGTGGTGATTTGTGAGATTTTGGTGCACCCATCATACCAGCAGTATACACTGCACTCAATTTGGAAGCTTTATCTCAAGACTTGACTGAGGAGGTATCCACTTTCAAGCTCCTGCAGTTATTGGCAGCATTCAGTGCCTTGTGGATGGTGGGACCAAGGGACTTCGTTTCTTGATCTATGGTCCCTGAATAGGGTAGCTCACAATATGATTGCTTGCTTTATCTAAGCCAGCAAAGTCTCCCCACAGGATGGATTACAATGTCATATAACATGATGGCAGAAATGACATCCCCTCTCCTTTGCCATCATCTATTTGTTAGAAGCAAATGAGAGCTTCCTACACTCAACTTTAGGGGATTATACAAGATCATGAGGACCAGGAGGCAGGGATGTGTAGAGGCCATCCTTGGGTCTGTTTGCCACGCAATGCACTGCAGGAGGACTCTTGGAGCTTGCTCAATAGTCTCAGGTAAATGAGGAGAAGCTACTGGAACTGCCTTGGATGAATATTGATGAAAAGTTTAGAAGACTTGGAGAGATGAAGATATTCGAATAGGTTTAATATGTGATATTAGAAACCTCACCACCTAGTTCTGCTTCATAGGAAGACATTCCCTTCACTAGAGCAATATGAAGACTGTATGAATAAGACTTTGAAAACACAGGCAACAAAAGCAAAAATAAACAAATAGAATTATATTAAACTATGAAGGTTCTGCACAGCAAAGAAAATGATCAACAGAGTGAAAAGACAAGCTACAGAATAGGAGAAAATGTTTACAAACAATTTGTGTGACAAGGGACTAACAATCAGAATATATAAGGAATTGAAGCATCTCAATAGCCAAAAAAAAAAAATCCGATTAAAAAATGGGTAAAATGTCAACATCACTAATCATTAAAGAAATACAGATCAAAACCCTAATGAGATACCATTTCACTCCAGTCAGAATGGCTATTACTAGTGAGCCGAGACTGCACCACTGCACTCCAGCCTGGGTGACAGTGAGACTCTGTCTCCAAAAATAAATAAACAGATAAATGAATAAATAAATAAATAAATAAGTCAAAAAATAACATACTGGCAAGTTTGTGGAGAAAAGTGAATGCTTATACACTGCTGATGGGAATACAAATTAGTTCAGCCATTGTGGAAAGCAGTTTGGTGATTTCTCAAAGAACTTAAGACAGAATTACCATTCAACCCAAAAATCCCATTATTGAGTGTATATGCAAAGGAATATAAATTGTTCTGCCATAAAGGCACATATATGTGTATGTTCATTGCAGCACTATTCACAATAGCAAAGACATGGATTAAGCCTAAATGTCCATCTACAGTAGACTGGATAAAGAAAATGTGGTACATATATACCATGGAATATTATGCGGCCATAAAAAATGAGATCATGTCCTTTCCAGCAATATGTATAGTGCTGGAGGCCATTGTCCTAAGCAAACTAACACAGGAACAGAAAACCAAATACCACATGTTCCCACTGATAAGTGGGAGCTAAACACTGAGTACACACGGACACAAAGAAGGGAACAGCAGACACCAGGGCCTACCTGAGGGTGGAGGGTGGAAGGAGGGTGAGGATCAAAAAATTACCTATTGGATACTATGCTGATTCCCTCAGTGATGAAATAATCTGTACACCAAACCCCACAACACACAACTTACCTACATAACAAACTGGCACATGCACCTCTAAATCTAATATAAAAGTTTTAAAAAATGGACAAAATAATTGGAACAGATATTTCTTAAGACACACAAATGGCCAACAAATACATGAAAATATGCTCAACATCACTTATCATCAGGAAAATGCAAGTTAAAACCACAATGAGGTATTATCTCACCTCAGTTAGAATGGCTATGATCAAAAAGACAACAAAAAAATAAGATGAGGGCAAGGATGCAGAGAAAAGGAATTCTAGTCTACTGTTGGTGCAAATGTAAACTAGTACAACCACTATGGAGAATAGTATGGGTATTCCTCAAAATCTACAAATAGAACTACCATATGATCTAGCAATTTCAGTACTGGGCATTTATCTAAAGAAAAGGAAATCAGGGTATCAAAGAGACATCTGCACCATCATGTTAACTGCAGCACTATTCACAATAGCCAAGATATGGAATTAAGTTAGGTGTTCAACAACAGATGAATAGATAAAGAAAATGTCACACACACACACACACACATACACACACACACACACAATGGAATACTATTCTGCCATAAAAAATAATGAAATCCTGTCATTCACAAAAACATGGGTGGAACTGGAGTACAATATGTTAAATGAAATAAGTCTGGAACAGAAAGTTAAACACTGCGTGTTTTCACTCATAAGTGGAAGCTAAAAAATGTTGATCACATAGTTTCTATCACTAGAGGATACTAGAGACCGAGAAGGATAGAGGGAAATGAGGGATATGGAGAAATTTGTTAAAGGTTACAAAATTACAGCTAGGTAGGAGGAATAAGTTCTAGTGTTCTATACCACTGTAGGATAACTAGTTAAGAACTATACACATAGTTTCAAATAGCTTGAAGGATGATTACGTGTTTACAATACAAAGAAATGTTAAATGTCTGAAATGATGGATATGCTAATTACCTTGATTTGATCACTATACTTTATATGCACTGAAACATCACTATGTACTTCATAAATACGTACAATTATTATATATTAATTTAAAATAAATGTAAAAAAAAATGAGCTGCTGAGTAGGGCTGACTGCTTTTTTGCACCAGGATTGAGCAGAGCACATCATGCTGGAGACCCAGACTCTATACTATCAAGGGGGATAATAGGATCTTGGCATGGCAGAGGCCAGAAGGCAGCACCCAGCAGAGAAAGGCAAACTGGAGGTAAGAGCCGCAAAATCCTTATGTTATATTTTCTATATCAGAAAAAAGCATAAAAGTTTATGAGTCATTTTTAGTCCAAATGTCTATGTGAATTTTCGTGTCTAATTGAGGGAATACTCCCACATTGAAAATGAACCGAGACAATAAGATTGAATGGCATTTTGGAAACAGCTGCGATATAATATATTGGACATGGATTTGCAGTAATCGTAACCTTGGAAAAGTTGCTTAAGTTAAACCTCAGGGTTTTTTTTTTTTTTTTTGGTCTGTAAAATATCTCTTGGATGCTTCTTGGTGACATGCATGATTCTAGGAACTGGTGACAGAATGCTGTGCCAGTAATTCTGCTGGGTCCCTGATTTGCTGGAATGCCAATGGAGGATAGGGACACTGAAGACATTTAAGAAGACTATATAATGACCTTAGTGACAGGCGCCCTGAGGAAAAAGCAGAGAGGTTGAGGGCTATGATAGATGGAATGACCAAGAAATCCTTCATGAACAGGTGGCATTTGAACAGACCTGAGTAAAATGAAGACACCATATGACTTCTGAGGGGCAACAAGTACAAAGGCCCTGAGTAGAGACCATGATTCATGTATTTGAGGTGTTGCAAAGAGTCCAGGGTGGCTGCTGCTCAGAGAAATAGTGAGAGGGAATTAGAAAATAAGGCTCCAGAAGTAGTCAGAATTCAGATATCTGGATAATTGTTTTGAAGGTCAAATCAGATAATATCTGTAATATTTTTGGTATGTAGAAGTGCCCAGTTTAAAGGTCCAATGTAAGTTATCACCTCATCTGAAACAAGCATACCATGGGAATGTTGAAGAACCAAGTTTAGGTCTCATCAAAGTATAAACTGTTGAATTCTGTAACATGTGGGCATGTCATGACTCAGAGAAGCTACAACTCTCAGCTTAGTGGGTTCAGTATGTGTCAGAATTATCATTCTTCTATGTAAAACTGGTAAAGAGACTAATAAAGGGTTTTACAGTTTGGGCCTACATTGTGAATCCTGTCTTCAATAAAGTAAAATAATTTTTTAATATAACCCCTGGGGTTTCTAATCAGAAGAGTCTAAATTACAAAGGAGGCCAGAGTCAGCAGGATCACGTGAAGCAGCAGGGACTTGAAAGACATGGCTGGAGTCACTGAAGGCTACTTTGCATTCAATCAGCTTTATTTGAAAGAAGAACAATCATGTTACAGAACAAATCAATAGCATCCAGGAAGTGCTGACTATTCAGGGATATTAGGTCTGATATGCTGAATATGGTCCCCAAGGTGCCAACTTTCTTTTCTTTTTTTTTTTTTTTTTTTTTTTGAGATGGAGTCTCGCTCTGTCGCCCAGGCTGAAGTGCAGTGGCGCGATCTTGGCTCACTGCAAGCTCTGCCTCCTGGGTTCACGCCATTCTCCTGCCTCAGCCTCCCGAGTAGCTGGGACTACAGGCGCCCGCCACCACACCCAGCTAATTTTTTTTTTTTTTGTATTTTTAGTAGAGACGGGGTTTCACCGTGTTAGCCAGGATGGTCTTGATCTCCTGACCTCGTGATCCGCCCGCCTCGGCCTGTCAAAGTGCTGGGATTATAGGCGTGAGCCACCGCGCCCGACCAAGGTGCCAACTTCCTTATCCTGGAACCTTTGAATATGTTGCCTCCTATAGCCAAAGGACTTAGTAGATGTGATAAGTAAAGGGTCTTGAGATGGGGAAATTATCCTGCATTTTCTGTCTGGGCCAATGTATCACTTGAATTCTTATAAGAGAACCATAGGAGGGCCAAAGTCAGAGAGAGAAATAGGATCTCCTGCATTGCTGGCTTTGAAGATGGAGGATAAATCCATGAATCGACAAATGCAAGAGGTCTCTAGAAGCTGGAAAAGATAAAGGAGTGCATTTTCTCCTAGAGCCAGCCCCCTTTCCCAGAAATGCTGCATTCCTGCTGACTCCTTGATTTTTAGCCTGATGAGACCCATGTTGGACTTACAACTTTCAGAAATATAAGATAATAAATGTGTGTTGCTTTAAGCCACAAAATTTGTGGTAATTTGTTATAGCAGCAGTAGGAAATTAACATCCTGGGAAATCAAATGCAACAGTTAGAACAAGGTAACCATATTAAAAAGAAATGGAATTTTTTTTAAAAAATCGAGATTTCTGAGGAAGGGTCTACATAGACCTAATGTGGGCTAGGACTTGCCAAATGTCCCAAGCTAACAAAGTGGAGGATTACAATGCTCATCCAATTTCATTTTTAAGTAGGGTTGTGTTGAAATGTGTGGATATGTACGTAGACTATAGAATGTAATCGCTGGGTGCATTGTTGCATTATTTCCCCTAAAGCATCTGCACTGGAAAAAGAACATAGCCTCTGAAAGCCCTATAGCTTGTATGTGAATCCTGGCCCTGACTCTTGGAATCAAAGAGGTCTGTGACTGAGGGAAGTTATGTAAACTCTATGTCTCACTTTTCTGATCTGTAACTTGTCAAATTAATAATACTTACCTCATAGGGTTGCCATGAGGGTTAACAGAGTTAATATGTAAAAATGTAGTGTCTGGCATATAGTAAATACATGCAAATGTTTTGTCATGTTACTTTTTGTTTCTCACATCCCCAAGGTTAGAATTACCTCTTATTATATTAACAGATTTGCAATACAGAAAGAATAAAAAAACATATCACGGATCACATTTTAGCCAGTATTTCACATTGCTTTTCCTATTTTCTGATATTTATATTATCGTAATTACTGTAAAACCCTTTCAGGAAATTCAAAAATGCCATGAGACTTAGACTATGTTGGCAAAATTGCAAAAATGTATTTAGAAAAGAAATATATTTATATTTCTATAATCTAGGCATTACATTATAAATGACAGTAGGCTAGTACAAAAACCATATTAACCATAGGAAATAATTTGTCAAATCAATTGCTTTGAATTTCTTGACTTATAATTTTGAAGGAGATATTTCTGAACAATTTTCTCATGCTTTCATATAGATTATCAACACTGAATACTACAGGAGGGAAGAAATATGGAGGAACTGGGTAAAGGGAAGTAGGATATAAGCTTCAAGAGATAGTAGTGACCATAACTGTATTATTCACCATAAATAAACCTATCTCTGGCTCAGTGCTTGGAAAAGAGTAGACATTCAACAAATACTGTTGAATGGATGAATATGTGAACTAAAACTTTCCAGTGCTTACTCTGAGTCGATTATCACTCAATTTTTACAGCAACCTTGTGAAATAAACATTAGCATTATTGTCTTCTTTGTACTTATATTTTGTCAGTATTTTTATTTTATTGATAATAAAACTCAGGCCTAGGGAATAATTCGTTCAAGATAGTATATTATGATACTGGGATTCAGAAGCACATCTAAGTAACTTCACCACCTGCAGTCTTTATATAAGCATATTAAAAACATAAACCTCTTGACACCACTATAGTCACTATTTCTAGTGCACAATTGTAGAGTCAGCCCTCAATAGAGGGGAGTGGGAGGCTGATTGAACATTCTTTTTAAGTGCACTTTTTAAGGGCACTATTCTACCAAGAGGACTGAACCCCTTGCCTTTGAATGAAAAAGGTTTTCTATAATATAAATTATAATTTAGATAGGGTATAGAATCTAAAATCATTAGCATACTTTATCTAACAACTTCTACATATGAGAGCAGAGGTAGCCACATACAGGTCAGGGCTAGTAGGTAGGATCAATGCTTTGAAATAGGCCAGTTGAAGCCAGGTAGATTCATTTGGAGAGAAAAATCTGTTTCCCAACTGCAAACAGTTGTTTGTAATGAAGTTTAGGCAGACCAGCTCAGATCCATCATCACTCTCAGCCCAAATAGCTCCAAGTACATGCCCCACTGATGGGGGATCAATAGCATTGTTATATACAAAGGCTGCGCAATCATGTGCTTACTGTTGACATGTTGATGGCTGCCACCTATGCTCAATATAGTATTCTTCCTATGCAGAATTGATAGCCTCAATTCCTAGAAAGTACCTACACAGCATTTTTCAACATTGCCACTTATTTGGCTGACATCTATGTATCTTTTTGTATCATGTCCTTAATATATTGGGAGGTTCCTGCCAACACCCTCAGCTTAAATGTGGTAGAACTGTTCTAGCTTCAACGAACTGGATGCATTCTGCTTCCATACACAATGAAGATGTTTAGCACAGAAAGGAGGTGTGTTCATGTTCAAGGACTGCATTATACCACAGATAATGTTAGACAGTCAACAGTGAGTCATTTTTGCTGAGTTCATAAACACAAGCTTTGTGATTGGAGTTCTCCAGCTTTAGATCAACTCTGTCATTATCATGTTTTAAAATCACAATTTAAAACAAAAGAGTAAAATATTGTTAAGGGTCAACCACTGAAAGCTCAGGTTATGATTATATACCAAATATGAGAATATCGACAAGCTCCTCCAAGCCAGGGACTGTGTCACTGCATCTGTATATACATGTTTGCCAGATACATAAGTTTCTTTTCTTTTTTTTTTCTTTACATCCTTAACAGCATTTGATGATGCCACTGGTTTTTTAACTGTTGTGATACATGTGTAATGATATTTCATTGTGGTTTTTTTTTACATTTCTATTTTTTAATTATAGCATGTTAAGTTTTGGGATACACGTGCAGAACATGCAGGTTTGTTACATAGGTATACATGTGCCATGGTGATTTGCTGTACCCATCAATCTGTCATCTACATTAGGTATTTATCCTAATGCTATGAGTTTATTTTCACCTTTAAGTTATCCCGCTTGAGTCAATTATAATATCAAGAAATTATATACTGCAAAATGTGAGAGCAATAAGCACAAAACTTACAAAGGTGAACATCCTCTTATTTAAGCATTACCATAAAAATCACACTAAATATATTTTTACATTTTTGCCACTGCACATTCTTAGACTTAATATTCAGTTCTTCCCTATCTGTAAATCTTGAATAGTAATTTCCATCCAGTCATCAACGCTGCATCATATACTCATGCTGAGCATTAAATATCTGACATGAGCTTGCAGATGATGATGAGTTATTATTATGGTAAATAATATCTATAATGGCTACTGATTTTTTCACACTAATCTGACCAGTGTATTTAAATAGTGATGAAAACCATACAACATTTTAAATTATGATAAATCTATTTAAGATAAAAATCAACTTTTCTAATATTCCTATTTGGGGCAGCTTTTTTTCAATACTTTATATAGACTGACTATCAGGGTATTATTCATTTTCTCCAAAGAAGTATTTTATTTAAAATTTAAATTTAATATAAAATAAAAATTTAAATTTAAAAAATTATTTATTTAAAAATATATTGAGCTTCTATATTGAATGTATATAATAAGTTATCAGAATAGGTTGATATATAAGTATTAAGAAATTATACACGGCAAAATGTGAGATTTTAAGGAATCTCACATAGGACTCTCACTAAGGAAGATTTAGTGTTTAATAAATGTATCTGAAATAATCATTTAGAATTGCATAAACATATGCATGTTAAATCAATGAGTAGTAAATGATGTAAACAAGTAAAAGTCTATAACTTCTATATGCAGAGAAAGTGCCTACATAAATTTTTTCCACTTTACTTAAATGCTATGTCTCAGGAAAAGAGTAAGAAAAACAAAAGTTAATCTACTGTTATATATTCTGGTTCTCCTATTTTTCTTATTAAAATTAACATTATCAGTCAAGGACAAAGTTGTTGTCCTCATTTCTTGTTATATGCGGAAGGCTTTGGTGTGATATCTATCAGCTCTTTTTAAATCAAACTGATATTGGCTAATATGGATTAGCTGCAGGAACTAAGTAACAAAGAATCGACACAAAACTCCTGTGACAACTTCACTGAGAAAACGTAAGGACTCATCCATAATGTTTTCATCAGTTTGAAGAAGTATTGAACCTAGCTGTTTCACCAGAAACTTACAGCAGTTTGCAAAATGCTGTAAACTCCTATTTCTAAGTCCATATTTCAGCACAGGCAGTGGGCTTGCATTTCACTAAATAGACAGCTCTTACATCAAATGAGTCAAAAATGACGCTCTTTTCATATTCCCTTTTCTCTACTTTTTGTTTTATCTATAATATTGTATTTCTATTATGTGACTAGCATTCTGCTAAATGAGAGGAGACACCTTAATAGTAGGAGTCATGGTTTCTATTGGTGACTCTTAATAAAATTTGTAATTGATTCAAAACAAATATGCAAAAGTTCTAAATGTATTTCCCTTCTTCCTCCTCTCTTCTCTTTTTCCACCTTCTCTTACTTTTTACTAATTTTTTCACCTTTTCTATATCTTTTTCTCTCTTTCACCAGCCTCCCTTTCATCTTTATAATTATTTATTAAACACATAGTATATGTGATAGATAGCAGCTTATCTCAGAGTGATTTGGTACTGAGGGATTTGATTGTTAATGGGTGATAAGACAAGTATATAAATAGCTTAAATAAATTTTAAATACACACAAAAAGTGTCATGAGAAAGGCACAGATAATTCATAATGCATTTGATTTTCCCCCCTCCCTTGATTCCATTTTATCAGGTTTTTTTCCCAAAGTATCAACTCACAAGATGATCCAGGAGGAATATAAGCTATGACTGCAATGGTGCCTTTCATTAATTATTTATGATATACTTGTTTTTCACAGATTCTGTCATTTTCATGAGAAAGTACAGGTGGTCCAGTCCATTAGCCAGAGATTCACAATGGGTATGTGATAGGACACCCTGGCGTACAGGAATTGGGTGACAGGTATGCCAAGATATGGATCCCCTCAACCCTTGGGAGAGCTGGTAGATTTTTTTTGACATAAAGAGCCTTGTTAACTACCCTTAGATTGCTATAAAAATATTTTCATTTTTTATGTGTGTCATGATATGAAAAGTTTCAGTGTAACGCTAGGAACTAAAATATTTTTGTAGTCAACACTGGCTAGCAGTACAAAAATTTACTTTAGCATTCTTAGCCACAATTTCTAATTGGTAAGCAAACTTAGAAATTCCTTCTTTTTTTCTCTCCACCCTCTTCACAGATGGAAATCTGAAAAAAATCCCTATGCATTACCAATATGTCAGAATTTTATTGAAATTTTACTTTGAAGTACTCTAAATTATTAAATTAAAATAATGAATAATTCTTTAAAAAATATTTAGTCTTCTATTGAACAGAAATGTGTGAGGTGTGTCCACTTAGTCAGGTTTATGTTATATCGCTTAATAATTTTTTAGCATTCTTTAGGTGGGTCACAAAATCTCTCACTAATATTAAACCATAATACTGTACATGCATCAATTATTAAAATATATATGGTTTTTTCATTATAAATTGAACATCTTTTATTTGTATAATTGATTACCATTGTTACAGGAATATAAGTGACCACATATTTTTTGTTCATCTGACAAGGCTCCTAAACCTTATTATTCTGGTGGATTTTCAGTTGCTGACATTTTCTAGTGTCCAAAAACAATACATGGTTTATAAACTAAAACTTTAAAATTTGGAGGAGCTCATTGTATGACAGTGCATTGTACATTATTAAAAATAGCTAAATAGAGCTTCCTTAGAACAGGAAGAAGGAAAAATATAGAGTTTAGGCTTCACCAGTCAATCTTTCTTCCCTGTGACAAATTATCTCTATGTGATTGAATATTCGGTATGGTTTAAAATTTATACTGTATGCTCTTATTGAGTTAATATCAATGAATAATAACTTCAGCCATCTAAACTCCAAATTGAGAGGTAAACATAATAAGGTCCATTTAGCCCTGGGCCAATCCTAGCCTTATTTATGTAAAAGGAGAGTTGATTTTCACAATCCCTTATCTCTCCACTCTCAAAGTCTTTCTTTTTTCTTCCCCCCATTGCATAGGCACTTAAAGTTTAAGACGCTAAGCAGCTCTCTGAAGCTTTTCTATAGGCTCGACTCTAGGTGTCTAAGCTCTGGATCCCAGAGATCTTCCCACCATGATAGTTTATATAGGCCTCAGCCCTCTATAAGGTAAGAACAATAGCTTATCTGTGCCCATATGACAATGGATTGTAGTAAATTGTATTGCTATTCCTTAAGGTAAATTATTTGCTGTAAATTATATAGATCTTCTGTAACCCATGGCTTAACACTACATAATTTCTAGCAGTTGCTGGCATAAGTCAGGACAGGATAAAATATAATTTTTAATTGCCTGTGGAATCTTCAATTAATACAAATCAGGATACTTCAATTTTTCTTATTCAAATAATTGATCCTGAGACGCCCTTGTATCTTAATCCTAGAATTAAAGAATGTAGGAGAAGTATTTATTAGTATAATATTTAGCTAGTACTTTAAAAATTCTGAGTCTTTCTAATGTGTTAACAGCTTCTTATATTCAGTGTATCAAGAAATGACTCATCGCCTCTACCTCTCCCTCTCCCTCTCCCTCTCCCTCTCCCCACGGTCTCCCTCTCCCTCTCTTTCCACGGTCTCCCACTGATGCCGAGCCGAAGCTGGACTGTGCTGCTGCCATCTCGGTTCACTGAAGCCTCCCTGTCTGATTCTCCTGCCTCAGCCTGCCCAGTGCCTGCGATTGCAGGCGCGTGCCGCCAAGCCTGACTGGTTTTCGTATTTTTTTGGTGGAGATGGGGTTTCGCTGTGTTGGCCGGGCTGGTCTCCAGCTCCTAACTGCGAGTGATCCGCCAGCCTCGGCCTCCCGAGGTGCCGGGATTGCAGACGGAGTCTGGTTCACTCAGTGCTCAATGGTGCCCAGGCTGGAGTGCAGTGGCGTGATCTCGGCTCGCTACAACCTCCACCTCCTAGCCGCCTGCCTTGGCCTCCCAAAGTGCCGAGATTGCAGCCTCTGCCCGGCCGTCACCCCGTCTGGGAAGTGAGGAGCGTCTCTGCCTGGCCGCCCATCGTCTGGGACGTGAGGAGCCCCTCTGCCTGGCTGCCCAGTCTGGAAAGTGAGGAGCGTCTCTGCCCGGCCGCCATCCCATCTAGGAACTGAGGAGCGCCTCTTCCCGGCAGCCATCCCATCTAGGAAGTGAGGAGCGTCTCTGCCCGGCCGCCCATCGTCTGAGATGTGGGGAGCGCCTCTGCCCCGCCGCCCCGTCTGGGATGTGAGGAGCGCCTCTACCCGGCCGCGACCCCGTCTGGGAGGTGAGGAGCGTCTCTGCCCATCCGCCCCGTCTGAGAAGTGAGGAGACCCTCCGCCTGGCAACCGCCCCATATGAGAAGTGAGGAGACCCTCCGCCCGGCAGCCGCCCTGTCTGAGAAGTGAGGAGCCTCTCCGCCCGGCAGCCACCCCGTCTGGGAAGTGAGGAGCGTCTCTGCCCGGCAGCCACCCCATCCGGGAGGGAGGTCGGGGGGTCAGCCCCCCCGCCCGGCCAGCCGCCCCGTCCGGGAGGGAGGTGGGGGGGTCAGCCCCCCGCCCGGCCAGCCGCCCCGACCGGGAGGGAGGTGGGAGGGTCAGCCCCCCACCCGGCCAGCCGCCCCGTCCGGGAGGTGAGGGGCGCCTCTGCCCGGCTGCCCCTACTGGGAAGTGAGGAGCCCCTCTGCCCGGCCAGCCGCCCCGTCCAGGAAGGAGGTGGGGGGGTCAGCCCCCCGCCCGGCCAGCCGCCCCATCCGGGAGGGAGGTGGGGGGGTCAGCCCCCCACCCGGCCAGCCGCCCCGTCCGGGAGGTGAGGGGCGCCTCTGCCTGGCCGCCCCTACTGGGAAGTGAGGAGCCCCTCTGCCCAGCCACCACCCCGTCTGGGAGGTGTACCCAACAGCTCATTGAGAACGGGCCATGATGACAATGGCGGTTTTGTGGAATAGAAAGGGGGGAAAGGCGGGGAAAGGATTGAGAAATCGGATGGTTGCCATGTCTGTGTAGAAAGAGGTAGACACGGGAGACTTTTCATTTTGTTCTGTACTAAGAAAAATTCTTCTGCCTTGTGATCCTGTTGATCGGTGACCCTACCCCCAACCCTGTGCTCTCTGAAACATGTGCTGTGTCCACTCAGGGTTAAATGGATTAAGGGTGGTGCAAGATGTGCTTTGTTAAACAGATGCTTGAAGGCAGCATGCTCGTTAAGAGTCATCACCACTCCCTAATCTCAAGTACCCAAGGACACAAACACTGGGGAAGGCCGCAGGGTCCTCTGCATAGGAAAACCAGGGACCTTTGTTCACTTGTTTATCTGCTGACCCTCCCTCCACTATTGTCCTATGACCCTGCCAAATCCCCCTCTGTGAGAAACACCCAAGAATGATCAATAAAAAAATAAATAAATAAATAAATAAATAACTCATCTTTGAACTCCAATGCATCTAGGGAAAGCACCGCCCACTCCTATTATTTGACATCTTGGTGTCTCCTTCTTTCCTTTTTCATTTTGGATTGGTTTCTTGCAGTGCAGTTTTTTATCAGCATTACCTATTGCTTTTTTCAGGGTTCTACTTAAGTCATCCATTCATATTTTTAAATGTCACCTTCCCAGACAGTTTAATAGACCAAAATTCAAGTCTCCAAATATTTCCAGGTTTACTTAGGAATTATTAATGAATTAAAGTTGAAGAGGTGAAGACTTGGAATTCTCATTTCTGTCATAAGAAACACTAATATTCAAATAGAATTACGTTGAAGTAGATAGACAGGAACACTTGGTCCAAAGTGAGCTTTTCTATCTTTATGTAAAAGAAATTTTATGATTTAACAGCTTTATGATGCCTTTCCTTATCTTCCCTTTTGTTAAACCAACAAATTGACTTGAATGGCTTTATTTTTCCTCATTTTTTCTTGCTTATTTTGTTTTGCAAACTTCTGAGAGAGACTCAGCTATTCTGATATAAAAATATAAATACGGTGGTTTGGACCTGAATGAGACCTTTTTAAATGCAAGTACTAAATGAATATGTAACTCTAATTTAGGTGAATACTGAACAATAACATACATATGCTTTTAAAGTTTCCCAGCATTGTGCATGTTAAATTATTTATTTTTTCTCTCTTTCTCACCGGGCTGTATCTTCAAAAGCTCAGTGTTAATTATCATGGCCTTATGGGTCAGCTATGGGTACAATTTGCAGGAGTTATATGAAGTTTCTATAGCATTTGGTCTCATACATTTATTTCTAAACGATTACTTCTCTGTGGCCAGTGTGGATTATACTTTGCCAGCCCCATATGTGGCAGTGTTCTGTAAGTTTCTATATATATTTTTAGGCCAAACTATTTCTGCCTTCCCCAAGTTACTCTGGACCTCAGGAGAAAGCTAAAGAGAAGAGGTGCCCTAATTCTAGTAACAAGCTCCTCATGATTAAGATAGTAAATGCACACTTATTTCTAAAATTGGTGATTCTCTCATGTTCTCTCAGTATTTTATATATCATTTATCCTCTTCCTTAATAAAAATACTGAACTTCTACTTTAACATCGCACTGTCATTGTCATAAGGTCATGCCATTTCTAGCTTTGAGATATCTCTAAAATTTGCTCTCTCTTCATCATTTCCATTGCTGCCATCTTAGGTCAGGGCTTAATCGGGTATTCTCCAAGCTTTTAAACAGCTTCCTTTAGGCCTCCAGCTCTATTCTTTCCTTAAGTGAATTAACTATCTATTCCATACAGTAGTCAGTTTTCTCTATGACTGTGTCCCTTATCTGTTTATAAACTACTAATGTCTGTTACACATACATAGACATACTTCTTTCTCAGTATACTTTATTACTTGAGATTGCTTTAATAAGTCATCAGATCATCTGCCTCCATACTTTACAGATGCAGTTCATATGTTTGGCACACCCTCTCTTCCACAGAATCTGTTTGAAAAATTGTTCTTTAGCCATAGCATTCACAAGGTATTTAATGTTTTCTGAAATTCTAGAAAAAGTTACTTGTATTTTTCTCTGAATTTTAAAAAATCTTTTTATTCACAGGTCTCAATAATAGCAGTGTAATTTATTTGTTTTGCCTTTCTCTAATAGATTCTCTGAAGAAATGGACAGTTTTAATTGTATTTGTATCTTTTACCACCTACCATAACCAACATATTCTAGGTACACAATAACATAATGGCTTTCAAGGCTGACTCTATTAGAATCATTTGTGTAACTTATATGCAGAGACAGGTTTGGGCTCCATCTGAAACTTTTCAAAATCAACAATTCTAAATTAGTCTCAAGTTACTGTACTTCTGCTCAACTCCTGAGACCAAATAATGCACTCATAAATACATCTGGGATATATACTTTTATGAGGATTTCCTCCATAAAAGCAATTGTAAATAGAACTTTGATGAGATAGAAGTTAGAGGAATTTTCCCTGCCATCCACTATGGCATAAAATGCCTTATTGCTTCTTGACCCTCCTACAGCTAGCCTGGCTAGCTGTAGTTAGTGTTTGCATGAGCTTTGTGAGTTTGGTTGTGGTACTCTCCAGGAATCATTAAGAATGATAATAATAACATCTACTGAATACATGTGTGAGGCATGTTTATATGTGCTCAACACATTTAATTCTGACAATGACTGTATGAGTCATTATCCGTACTTTATAGATGAAAAATTGAGACTTCGACAAGGTAGGTAACCCCTTCAGAGTCAAACAGCTTGAAATCAGATAAAGCCAGAGTTAGAGCACAGGCAACTCACACCCATAGTTTATGTTCTTATATATGTCTCATCAAACATCAGCTACACAACTTATTTAGTACAAGGAGGCTAGGAAAAGATGAATAATTTTAAGACAAACAAAACAAGAACACACTAAAATCATCTAACTTTCATGTTAGATACTTTACATTTATTTTCTAATAAATGACTTAAAAAATACAAAAAGTAGTGTATTCTCCAGTTAACATTATGCAACAGTTGCATGGACCTTCCATGACAAACATTCTCAGTTACAAGCACACATATGTACTTTTTTTTTTCTTGTAACAACTGAGAGTCAAATACTGTTACCTCCATTTTAGAGAGAATGTGACTTGCCCAGTTCCACACATTTAATAAGGAGTAAAGCAGGGGCTCATATCCAGGTCTAGACACTCCAAAATGCATTGTTTTTGTTTTGTTTGTTCTCCCTCCCCCCCACATTTTAATATCTATATCATTTATGGATCACTCTCTAAAGTAAAAAAACAATTTAAGTAGTGGTCATGTGTGTTCATCTACACTACTAGGCACAGGCAAGAGGGCAATACAACAAAAGGGGCAGGATTCAACTGCATAACTTGCCTCAGTGTTTGTTTTCATTCTGTGATTGATACCTATTGTTTTATTTATTACATGGTGCTGTCACATTTCATTGATCATTCCCTTAAATGGGTTTTGACATTTCTTGCATAAATGAACTTCACAGGATCCAAATATATTAAGGAGATTTGTACGGTTCAATAGACTGATAGCTCATTCAATTGAAATGTAATGTTATTCCTCCCAGTTTTGCACAAATGTATTATAAATTAAAAACTGCTTTTCACTTTTTCACTTTCCTTACCAACAGTATTTAGACCTTCACTATTGTACTCAAGCAGCAATTTTGAATGAATTTTCCAATGCTCTTCTAAAAGTAGTATGATGGCTAAAAAATAATCTGACCACAATAATAGATAACCTGAAGTTCATCTGTGAGTTTAGAATTCTCATCATTTAAGCTAACTGTCTGGATGTATATGTGTATAGGTACACATGTAGACATTGATGATTCTATGGCACTGTAAGGTACTGTTCAGTATATTACCAAAGTTGCAAATATTTGTTTGTTAAGAAAATACTACTATGCCCCAAAGACCTGAAAGTATTAAAAGGGCTGACTTTACAGCAAATGAATAATGAGTTACCTTCATTTAATGTAAAATATAATTGGAGACTGAATTAGTCTAGCGATGTTTCTTTAATGATATGACTGCCAGTATTTTTCAGAGTGGCACTTCTTTCAGAATCATTTACTGCGTGTTTTCTGTCAAAGCAGGCTATCAGAAGCAAATGAACATTATTTGTTTCATTTTCTTAGAAAATATCTGCAAACTGAAAGTTCAATATATCTGTTGAGATGGAAAAACATCTCTTAATTCAATCTCCTTTAGAGAAGCCTGGGCATTCTCATTTGTACCAGTCAGCAAATTAACAAAATTAACTAATATTTTGATACAAAGGACCTTTCTTTTATGCTCAACAAAAAGAAAAAATATTTCTGCATGTTGTCTTGTCGCTTTTTAGTGTATGTATAAACTGTTTTTATTTTTAATTTTTATTTATTTTTTCTTTTTGAGATGGAGTCTCTCTCTGTCTCCCAGGCTGGAGTCTCCCAGGCACTATCTTGGCTCACTGCAACCTCCGCCTCCGGGGTTCAAGCAATTCTTCTGCTTCAGCCTCCAGAGTAGCTGGGATTACAGATGCCTGCCACCATGCCCAGCTAATTTTTGTATTTTTAATAGAGACCGTGTTGTCCAGTCTGGTCTCAGATTCCTGGCCTCAAGTGATCCACTCACCTCGGCCTCCTAAAGTGCTGGGATTACAGGCATGAGCCACCGCACCTGGCTTAATCTATTTTTATTTTTGATGCGTGATTTTTTTTTTTAGCACTTCAAAGAATTTCAACAAGATGATTTATATTGTTGGTTTTGCTGAAAATAGTATATATGTTACCCCTCTAAAGAAGGAATCAGACCAAAGATATATTTGTTTTCTAATCGTGGTTTCCAATAAGATCTGGAAGCGTTGAGAAATATTTCCACAAATTGTATTTGTTATGAAACCAAAACGTTTGAATTCCAAGAAACAATTAGTTCCATAAACAACTAGTTCACATGTTGAGAGATGAAGAAATCATTACAATGTTCTAAATATGATTCATATCCACAGAACTTTGTGATTTTTCCAAGCTTAACCTTAAGGAATAAGCCTTGGCAGTGTTTGGAAGCGGGACAATTGCCTCTCCTTCTGGGCTGACATTTCTGTGGGCCATGTGTGCCGCTCACTGCAGCACCTCCTCCTCCTCTTCAGCCTGTGAGATATTTCCTGTTCTTTCCAGTTGCCAGGCACCCACTAGCTCAGATAATAGGAAACTAGTCTTGGCTTTGTGCTGTTGTACCAATCCCATCATCATTCCCTTTTCTTGTTTTTATTCTCCTTAAGTTTAATTCTTTGTTGTCTCTCTCTCTCTCTCTCTCTCCCCCCATCTCTCTCTCTCTCTCTCCCTCTCTCCATCTCCTTCTCTCTTCTCTCTCTCTTTGGTTCTGTCCTTTCTCTCACTGAGACTCCCCAAACTAGCAAAGGATGTCTAACTGCTTCTCAAGTCTCAACACAGCCACAACCTTATTTAATAATCTATATCCATCTCAAGCTGGCACTTTCTCTGCTTCTCTTTCTTGTTCTTTCAGATTTTCTCTGTCCAAACCTTGCATTCCAGAATTTGACTCTCTCGAAGTTTCAAAATTATGCTTTCTGCTTTGTGAGCACCTTCTCTGTAAGAAATGCAATGTGAATATTGGGTTCTACATTTTCTGAAACAATTTATTTCATTCTTACTTGAGATATGCGTCCTTTTTCAGAGTTGATCAAATTGGATTTGTTGCTATTTTACTCATTCCCAGAAAGAACCCAATTCATGAGTGCGTGGAATGATTCCCAGGCAAGAAAGCCTACTCTGCTCTAGTGGGCCCTGCTTCCTTGTTTCCTTTTGTTTTGAAGTGACTTAAGTTTGGTTTTCACCAGACTCAATTCCTAAATTAGTTTAAGGCGTCCCAAACAGTAAATGTTGAGTTGAAAATACCTTATTAGACACAATGGTAGATTCAAAGATGGATAAGGCTCGCCTTGTTTCCTCAAAGTCGGTCTTATTTTCTAGTGGGTATATGAATGCATGCAATAAGCAGAGCATTGATGGGCGATATATGTGAATGTTATGAAGAAACTCCACTCATCCTTCTCATGTCAGTCCCTCAATATAGTATTATACAATGTAGTATTGCCAAGTCCATAATAGAAAGACCAAAAGTACATGAAATTGCAATGTAAAGCGTAGAACATATGTTATAGCCCTAACAGTAGATGAAATTACAATATAAATGGTGAAACATAGCCTATAGTGCTAACAGTTTTCAGATAGCACAATTTACTTACCTAAGGAGTTCACATCACTAAGTTTAAGCGATCTACTGTACAACATAGTGACTATAGTTAATAATATATTGTATCTTTTTTTTTTTTTTTCTTTGAGACAGAGTCCTGTTCTCTCTCCCAGGCTGGAGTACAGTGGCACAATCTCGGTTCTCTGCAACCTCTGCCTCCCAGGTTTCAGCAATTCTCCCAGCCTCAACCTCCTGAGTAGCTGGACTACAAGTACCCGCCACCACTCCCAGCTAATTTTTATATTTTTTTAGTACAGATGGGGTTTTGCTATGTTGGCCAGGCTGGTCTTGAACTCCTGACTTAAGGTGCTTTGTCCACCTTGGGCTCCCAAAGTGCTGGTACTACAAGCGTGAGCTGCCGCACCCAGCCAATATATTGTACTCTTAAAAATACTAAGAGTGATTTATAATCCTCTGGGTATACACCCCGTAATGGGATTGCTGGGCCAAATGGTATTTCTGGTTCTAGATCCTTGAGGAATTGCCACAATGTCTTCCACAAAATGCTCACATATGTTTATTGCAGCACAATTCACAACAGCAAAGGCTTGGAACCAACCCATATGCCCATCAGTGATAGACTGGGTAAAGAAAATGTGGCACATATACACCATAGAATACTATGCAGCCATAAAAAAGATGAGTTCATGTCTTTTGCAGGGACAAGGATGAAGCTGGAAACTATCATTCTCAGCAAACTAACACAGGAACAGAAAACCAAACACCGCATGCTCTCACTCATAAGTGGGAGTTGAACAATGAGAACACATGGACATGGAGGGGAACATGACACACCAGGGCCTGTTGGGGGGTGAGGAGCTAGGGGAGGGATAGCATTAGGAGAAATACCTAATGTAAATGACAGGTTGATGGGTGCAGCAAACCACCATGTCACGTGTATACCTATGTAACAAACCTACACGTTCTGCACATGTGTCCCAGAACTTAAAGTATAAAAAAAAGAAAGAAATATTAAGAATGCATTTAAAGTGTTATCATTACAATAACTGTGTGAGAGAATGCACATGTGAAGTGGTCAGATTTAGTCATTCCACAATGTCTATATGTTTCAAAAAATCATGTAGTACAGAGTAAGTACATACAAAATAAAATACAATTATTGAAGAATGAAAAAGAATTGAACAGCACTAATAATCATCAGTATGGCAGATGAAAACCAAGAGCACGGGTCCAACGGTGCCTGTATGTTATTTATACCTCCAATTCCCTTTGTTCACCACCGTTCTTTTACACTAAGGATATCCTCTTTAGAAATAACTCAAGGGGAAAGAGAGGGAAGTGGGAGAAAAGTAACAAAAGATAATTTGTACAATTTGTGTGTATCTCTCTCTCTATATATATGTGTATATATATACATATATATACTCTACATATATAATATCGTATATAGTATATATTTGTATATACTAGTGTATATAGTATATATTTGTATATACTAGTGTATATAGTATATATTTGTATATACTAGTGTATATAGTATATATTTGTATATACTAGTGTATATAGTATATAGTTGTATATACTATATAGTGTATATAGTATATAGTTGTATATACTATATAGTGTATATAGTATATATTTGTATATACTATATGTATATATACACTATATACATATAGTGTATATACAAAAAGTGTATATATGTACACATATATACATATATATACAAAAAGTGTATATATATGTACACATATATATACAAAAAGTGTATATATACACTGTAAGTGTATATATGTAAGTGTATATATACATATATAGTATATAAACATATTGTATATATACATATATAGTATATAAACATAGTATATATACTATATACTTATATAGTGTATATATATATGTGTATATGTATATGCGTGTGTGTGGGGAGAGACACAGAAAGAGAAAAAATTTTTAGTTACTTTTAGCACCTAGATCTGATTTCACTGCCTCAACATGAGGACCTCACCTAGTAATTCTTTACTGCAGTGACACCTATTGGTGAGGGTATAGCTGATTACCCACAGGTTTGGCTTCTCTGGCAAAAATTAACCTACAAAACAGTTTCAGTTTCCAGCAAATGATGTTCTTTATTTTATTCCCTCTGATTCTTATTTGAGTGAAAAAGTTTGCAGCTGTATTAATATTGTCTTTATTGATGTGAGTAAATGCTTACACCTAGAACTTCATAAAAATCTCAATAAAATGCAAAGCTAACAAGAATTGTTTCAGCACCCCCTCTCTCTACCTTGAAAATACCTGGAATAAGGCAGCAGTCAAAGATTTACTTTGATGCTGGACCCGTCTTTATAGCAAATACTGTCAGAACTTACATTAGCTAGAATTTGATAAGTTTGCTTATGATACCATTTCTTGTACTAAAATTTATTAGGGTAATAAATATGTTTGACATGAGGAATGGGAATGTCCAGTGTCTTCATTGTAACAGACAAACTAACCCAGGGCAAACTATTTATCATCTAGATCCAAGGTAAAGGAATGGGGTCTGTGGTGAGCTACAAGACTTTTCATCAAAGAGTGCGATAGCTTGGCATTGGACCTGCTTCTCAACCATCTATATAGTAGATATCCTGGAAGACTTTCTAAAAGTTGCCAATATCTGAGCCACATTCCAGACCAATCAGATCAGAATCTCTGTAAGTTTGGTATAAACGTCAAGATTTGTTAAAAGTTTCTCCTGAGATTGCATTGTGCAGCTGGGGTTGGGGACCACTAGATAGAAGTTTAAGGTTGGGCTTTAAAAAATGCCATGCCAATTTTTGAATCCCACCTCTACTCCTATCTGCCCTGGGTTCCTAGACAAGTTTTGTTATCTCTCTGAAGGTCAGGCTTCAATTTACTCATCTTGAAAAAAGAGATATGATATAAATAGTTGTTGAAACATTAAAACCAATTAAGTGAGCAAAAGGTTTGGTTGCATATGAGAGTTCACTGCATGTAAATCCCGAGGCTTCACTTTTGAGTCACACTTATAATTGACACATAATTCCCTTAATGCAAATAATAAAATAAGTGCAAATAATAAAATAAATGTATTGATTGATTTTTTTCTCTTCCTTCAGTGGGCTGCTTTCTCTGACTCCCCCTCCCCCGCCAAGATTTCTAGAGTAAATATTTATTTATTTCTGAATTGGAACAATATACTTATCTACAAAATTCCAATGTAAGTGATGGGTAAGGACCTTAGGCTGCATGGCCAAAGATCCCAATATTCTATTCTGATGCTCTGAGATTACTTTTTGATATTCTAGAAAGCCATTCCAATATGGTACTTTCATCATCAAGCCAGTGCATGGGCCTCTAATCAAGCTTGTTTACATTTCATGTAAAACAGAGAGATGGAGTCTTTTTCCTCAAGGAGGTGCGGCACATACTAAAAACTGAGAATTAAAACAAGGTATATTACTGTTTCACATTTTTCCCTGATAAATATTCAAACCCCATTTATTCATATAGTTCAATTATAATTTTCTTTTCAAAAACACTGGGTCAAAAATGTATATGTGTGTGTGTGTGCATGCCTGTGTGTGTATTGTTTCCTTGGTCTGACAGAAAAATTTTAATTTGGGGAGTATAAAACTGTTTTTTTCAATATTAGAGGGATGCAACGACGTTTTAAATGCTCATTTTGCTTTTGTTATACGAAGTTCTGTAAACTTAAGATGGAGAAAAAGTGTTGGAAATAAGACTTAGTGTTTATAGCTGAGTGTGAGATTAACTTCATGGCTTTATAATAGTTACTGACTGGCAAAATAAATCTAAATTGCCTTCAGTGTAAAAGTGAGTACTAGAGGCCATGAGAAGGAGAGGTCACAGTGCTAAAAAGGACATTGTTTGGGGGATTTTTATTAAAAAAAATGATTTTTTTGGTAAATATTATTAAAAATTCCAGCAAAATAAGAAAGACCACAAAAAGTTACTCACAGATACCTAAGTATCTAAAAGTGAGATTTCACAATTCTTGCTATTCTTAACTATAATATAATTTCTTTTTACTTGAATTTAATAGAAGCAGCTGAATGACAACGAGGAGTTTAAACTTCAATTATTCATATACACGATATATCAGTATATAAATATTAAGTTTCTGAAAGAACACAAAGATCATTAAGTGTAGAGCCATCATTTCCTTTCAATTGTATGTTTCACTTTTAAACAATACTTGTTGACTACTTGATATGAAACATGATAAGGGACTTATTTCTCCCATACTTCTCCTCACATCCTTTTTGCCTCAAGTTCTTGCGTTGTGTAACTCTAGGATGTACAATTCACATTTTATGTTATAGGAATGTCTCCCTCTGGAGTTGTGCAATACAGCCATCATTATTCTTCCCACATTCCAATCCATGTGGGTTGTATGATAAATATTTTCTTTCTCAAGGTAAACAACACTTTCTGTTCTGCAACCATAATGCTCCCAATTACTTGGCCTTGGCTTTTCATTTAAATGGTTTTAATAGTCTCATATTTTTATACATTTCGCTGCTGACTAGATTTCATCACCAAGAAATGTCTTCAATTCACGCATTTGTAGCCCCTAAGGATTTCTTTCAATGCATATTTATCTATTCTATAATGTACTAATTTGTAGTTTATAAATCATGCACTCAAATAATGCATTTTTAAAGGATATAAAGTCCCGATATTTTCTTTCCATACCTGCAGTATTTGACTTTTGTATTTCCCAGATGAAAGCACCCCTGACTTTGGAGACCAGCTGGCCTACATCACACCTGTAACAAGGGCTCCTTTCAGAATGTTGGCTCATTTCAAGGCTGATTTCAATCGCCCCAACAGCCATAATAATCCCCATGTGATTCTGTGCTTGTTTGCCATTTTCTGTCATTCTTTCTACACCCTCATGTTACCTATTTCCAAATTTATATGCCATCTGTTTCCTCAGTTGTTTTTCATAAAGACTTTGGACTTAATTGGTCATGGCAAGCTGTTTTTTAAATGGCCAATTCCATTCAATACATGTAATCATTCACAGGCAGGAGGGGAAGTCGATCAATACTTGCAGGAATAACTCAGCACACAGCTCAGCACATAGCCTTGGCCCCAGAGTTTGTGTGTGTTGTATTTGGCCCTCTAGACTCAGGACTGCTGTTGAAATCCTAATCCTGGGCAGTCTAGACGCTTCTTGGATGTTGATCCTTGAGTGTTAACATCTACCTGTAAAAGGAATACACTAGCACTAATGTTCTTAAACTTTAGTGTACATGAGAATTACCTGGAACACTTACTAAAATAAAGATATCTGGACCCCGTCCCCTGAGTTTCTGATTCAGTACGTCTTGATGGTGGTGTCTAAGATTTTACTTTTGTAACAAGTTTCCAGGTGATACTAATTCTTCTGGTCAGAGGACCACACTTTAAAAACCATTGTGGTATAATTTTCTGAACATTTCTTGTTTCTAATCCTATATCTACTGTTGCTATGTATTTGGGAATGACAGCAGCATCTTCCCACATACAAGTGACCTCCGTGAGAGATTGGAGCCCATTAGCAAAACAACTAAGAAGAGGAAATTGATCAGCTGAGTTTATGTATGAGAATGTCTGTTTGTGGTTGTAATGTAGTTGAGCAAAAACTTGGCTGAACATCACATTCTAGGTTTACCTTTTCCTCAACCACTTTACACAAATTGCTTTACTGTTTTCTGAAATTCAATATTGTTGTAGAGGTCAGCTTGAAATTTTCACCCACAAAAGTGACTTGCTTTTTGTCTGCTTGCATATCTAAGGAATGTTTTTTACACCTTTGAAATTCAGTAACTTAACCAGGCTATGTCTCAGTGTCCATTGTAGTATCATTCTTGTAACTGAATGCACTCCTTTGAAATGGATATTAAGTCCTTCCTTTATTCCAGGAAAATTGTCTGCCATTTCATTATAATGAATTTTTTTTCCTTAGGGGTCACCAATTATCTTTACTCAGGGTCATCGTTGACTGTTTCCATATCTATCACCTTCTCATGATTACTAAAAATCTCTGAATTTGTTCTCTGCTTATAAGGTGATTAACTCAAGCCCTTCATATAATTTTCATATATGATTTCCTTTTCTTCCCCTTAGTCTTACAATGAAACTATTTTCAGTTTTAGTTTCCAACCACATCGGTCTGTTGTTTTATTATCTTGTTCTTCATTTATTGACCTGTTTAATTCATAATCTTATTAAAATATTCCACAGGATAAATTACACAGAAATACTATAGAGATTTTTTCTTTTGTTCCTTGCCTTAAATTTCTTCCAAATTGATTATTCCTTGTTTTCTGTTTGTATAATATTCTTTTCTATTATTCTTATTACTTATGTGTTTGGCATAGCTGCCATATCATGTCTTTTTGTCTCTTTGTGGTTCTATGAATGGAACTTCTAATTGATTTAGTGCATTTGCACACTCCCTGGCCCCTTTAGTGCTTTTTGATACATGTTTGTCTTCTACCACAAACCTTCATTTATTCTATCTGCTTTTCTGTAGTCTGAAGATAAAAGACGGATTCAAGAAGGAGAGCTTGACTGGTGCCCTAGGCAGCCTTTGCTGGAGTCCTAAACCATGCTTTCCAACCTCAGACTTTACTGCCAGGGTCAACTCCATTCAGGTAGGGGAGTATCCCCTTTGTCTAACCCTTAGCTCTTCACCCAATGTAATGAAGAACCTTGTAAAATAGCCTCTGACGAACCTCCTCTGAAATCGTGCCTCAGTAAATGGGCTTCTCATGCTGCCTTCATACCTAGTCTTTCTGCTTCCTTCTTCATTGGTAAGTCTTACTGAAAATTCTCAGCGGTTACCTTGACTCTCTTCTCAGTGCCATTTATGATGATGGTAGTGCATAAGGAACCACATTGTGGAGCACAGAAAGGTTTGTTTTCTTTCTTTAGTTAAAAATTCACAATGTATATTACATGAGATTGTACCCCTTTCATTGCTTATTTTCTGACTTGAATTCATTGTTGTGAGCAACTACTTCTATGATCTGACTTCACAATAATAATTTATCTCCCAAGGTTCCTGCTTCTTACAATTTTCTCCCTTCTGGAATATTAGCTCATTGAAGGCAGAGACCATGTTGTTTGTTTTGATTCATGAAAATGTCATGTCTTATATATCGTACAAATTTAATTAATTGAATTCATTAGAACATAGGATTTCTTCAAGTGTCTGTACATTAGATCTTTCGACTCGTTCATCCTTCATACAACATAAGGACTATAGTTAATAAAAATGTCTTGTATTCAGGAGAGTTGGCAAATGAGTAGATTATAGCTGCTCTTGCAATGGGGGATGGAGATGGGTAAGTATGTGAGATGATGGATATGTTCATTTGTTCCATGATAATTATCATTTTGCTATATATACATGTATCTTATCACATTATGTTGTATACCTTAAATGTACTCAATATATTTTACTTTAAAAAATCTTTGTATTTGTTAAAACCACAACAGCTAGATTATTTAGGAATAAAATGTAAAAGCTAGAAATTAACTTTGCAATAGCTTCAGGAGTAGACAAGAATAAATGAGCTAAATTGTGAAATAGGAAGCATTAGATATTCAAACATTTTCTAAAAACAGAAGTACAGTTTGTTTTTCAGTATTTTGATTTTAAAATGGTGGGCATCTTAAACTCAATTGTCCTTCAAGAGAATTTAGACCATGATTCTGTGTTCATGTGTTACCACTAAATTATTAAGTTATTTAATTGCTCTGTGCCTCACTTTCCTCCATTGTAAAATGGAGATAACAATAGTACTCACCTAATAAATTATTTGCTAAACTGAGTTAATATATTGTATGTGTATATATGTTTGTATATATATATATATGTATACATATAGTAACTAGTGTGTGTATATATATATGCATACATATAGTGACTAGCACATAGTGATTAGGTGTGTTTGCTATTGTTCATAGGAACAGAACCACTGATTTATCAACAACATGTCAAATGAAATTCCTGAAAGAATAGCTTGGCATTAAGCACAAATGCTGAAACTGTTTTTTACTTTTTTTTTTTTTTTTTTTTTTGAGACGGAGTCTCACTTTGTTGCCGGGCTGGAGTACAGTGGCACAATCTCACCTCACTGCAACCTCCGCCTCCTGGGTTCAAGTGATTCTCCTGCCTCAGCCTCCCGAGTAGCTGGGACTACAGGCGTGCGCCACCACACCCAGCTAATTTTTGTATTTTTAGTAGAGACATAGTTTCACCATGTTTGCCAGGATGGTCTTGATCTCTTGACCTCATGATCCATTGCCCAAACATATTCTCCTGTGTGTCTCACTTTTAACAACAATAAAATACCCTATTCTCTACCTGGGCAGTCATCAAATAATTTAAATATTTACGAGAGAACTATTTGGCAGTAATTATCACTTGATATTGATTTCCTGAACACACTAAAAATAATAATTTGAAAGGAATGGTGGATCTTCCAATATTAAAAATGTCCACTTAAGGAAAGCATGAGTGAACAGAGATGGACTGAATGGAGAAAAAGTGTAAACTGCTACAATATTAGAACCAAAGGTTATTCACTAATAATGCCTTGATACAAATAATATGGCACTTGTGAACACAGAGCTAGTGATTGTGAGATTAAGTATTATGTTAAACAAAATGAATAGCTCCTTGTTTGTGACAAATCCGTCACCTTTTATCACCAACAGTATCATGTAATCAGACACTGGTAAGATAGCAGAATACCCCTCAAACCTCTAATCAATCATTAGTACATGTCCCACCTCACTAATAATTGCTTCCTTTTGTTTATAATTTCATCACCTAATCATGTTGCTAAAAACTAAAGTTCAGCTTTATTATTTTTAGGGCTTAATTTAAATGGAACCATACAGCATGTATTCTTTTAAGTCTAGCTTAGTTTGCTACATGTTATCTTTGTGAAATTGTCCATAATGTTGCATGTAACTGTTTATTGTCATTGATATATAATATCCCTTCGTATGATTATAGCACACTAAAAATTATTTATTTTTTTCTTTTTCTTGTTTTTTTTTAATTATTATTATACTTTAAGGTTTAGGGTACATGTGCACAATGTGCAGGTTAGTTACATATGTATACATGTGCCATGCTGGTGTGCTGCACTCATTAACTCATCATTTAGCATTATGACGAGTTATTAATTTGTAGTGTAGCGTTTCATAATAAAATGGTTAAAAATTAATTGTAAAAAATATGGGCTACTCAAATAATAGATTTTAAAAGAATGCCTAAAACGTATCTTAATGATATGAGGAAATGTTACTTCTTTTACTAAAACCTTTTATTGTACTTTATTACTGGTCCTCCTGGCTATTAGAAAAACTAAGAGACACTAGCAGGGATTTATTGATACCTGGAAAACACTAAAGTCCTAAATGCCATCAATTTGCGCTCCAGGAATGGAGTTAGATTTCATAGTGAATGACTGGGAAAGAAGATTTAAAAGTCTTCAGCTGCTGCTGCTGCTTCTTTTAAAGCTCTTAATTATGAATAAGCATTTCTATTTCAAGGTCCAAACAGTGATTCTAAAACCACCTGACTCCTCTTCAGTATGATATAAATTTCATCTCTAAAACCACTTCGAGGTGGGCGACTCTTGTTCTTGGTTAGCAAATGAGTTCATAGGCTTGGAAGTACCCAGGGTAGGGAACTTAGCTTACAGAGTAGTATGCAATGTTTCAGTGTCTATACACAATTGACAGAGATGGTACAAGCCATGAATAGTGGAGACATAGAGAAATGGGGCATCATGCTGCCACTTAACAAATTCACTTGATCACATCCCTCCCTACAATGTTCAGATTACAAAGCAGATATTCTGCCCCACTGACACTTCTCAGGTCTCATCCCTTCTGAGATTACTTGTATGAGTTGTACTATCGGTCCGTCCTCACATTACTATAAGGAAATACCCAAGACTGGGTAATTTATAAAGGAAAGAGGTTTAATTGACTCACATTTCAGCATGGCTGGGGAGGCCTCAGGAAACTTACAATTACGGCAGGAGATAAAGGAGAAGCAAGACACCTTCTTCTCAAGATGGCAGGAAGGAGACTTGCTGAGCGAGGGGGAAAGAACCACTTATAAAACCTCAGATCTCGTTAGAACTCACTCACTATCACGAGAACAGCATGGGGGAAACCATCCCAATGATTCAATTACCTGCACCTGGTCTCTCCCTTCACACATGGACATGATGAGGATTATGTAGATTACAATTCAAGATGAGATTCAGGTGGGGAGAGAAAACCTAACTATATCAAGTCATGCTCCGTTTAGTACAAGACTTAGCACTACCCCTCTTTTGCATCACAGATCTGTTCAAATGGATATTTGCATATCGTCATGCTCCTGCCCAGATGAAGACAGGCCAAAGACTTTTGTTCACAAACCATTGAATTTCCTCCAATGCAGAAAGATTCACTGATGATATCTTATGCTATGAAGAGAAGTGTGAAGAGAAAACCACAGCCTTTTGTTAAAAAGAATAAATGTATAAAAACAAAAGACATCCATTATATGCAAAAGATGCTTGCAAACCTATGTTTAGAGCAGCACAATTTGCAATTGCAAAAATATGGAACCAGCCTAAATGCCCACCAATCACCTAGTGGGCAAAAAAAATTGGCATATATACACCATAGAATGCTATTCAGCCACAAAAAGGGACAAAATAATGGCATTCGCAGCAACCTGGATGGAGTTGGAGATCATTATTCTAAGTGAAGTAACTCAGGAATAGAGAACCAAATATTGTATTTTCTCACTTATAAGTGGGAACTAAGCTATGAGGACACAAAGGTATAAGAATGATATGATGGACTTTGGGATCGGGAGAAGAGTGGGAGGGAGGTGAGGGATAACTGACTATATATTGGGTACAGTGTACACTGCTCAAGTGACAGGTGCACCAAAATCTCAGAAATTACCAGTAAGGAACTTAGCCATGTAACAAAACACCACCTGTTCCCCAAAAACTATTGAAATAAAAATGTTTAAAAAGGAAAAAAAAAGTATTATGTTTTGGAAATTTATGAAATATGGAATAAAACAGGTGAACTCTATCTCACATTTTCCAGAGTAATACGCATGGATGAAAGTAAGTCATTTATAATTGACTGATAATATAGATCAATTACTTGTATAAACTTAATGGAGCATTATATTGGCTTTCACTCCCTGAGATACAAGACTATTTAGGACTGCCTCAGTGATTAAATATTTAACAAAAGACCTTTGGGGAGAATGAAAATATTTCAATACCATAATGAAACATATTCTATAAGCTGTACAAAACCTACCTGAGGGAGAGACTGCCCTACAGTTCTCAATCAATAAGTACTGTTTTCAGAAATTATTATATGTAATTGATATTTAGTCAATAATAATAATAATTTTAAGGAAGACTAAATTTTCTGAGGGACCTGGAGTGTTGCACTTCACATTATTTTCTTAGCAATCCCAGCATTTTTTTGGTATATGAGATGCATAGATTTGAATAAAAGGTATGAAAGTATAAACGCTTTAAAATTCTTTCTCCTTTTCCCTTTCCTCCTCCTCTTCTTTTCCTCCTTTCTCTCTTCTCTTTCTCTCTTTCTGTCTCTCCTGTTCCCTCTCTTCCATAGCCCTATCCCTGGCTCACAAGAGACTATATAATAGCCTGAAGATGAATAACAAGGATGCTGCTAAAATGAATTAGGAAGCTCTCTGTTTGTCACAGAAAATGCTTCTAGTTCTTTTCAAATCTCATTTCCTGGACCTGTTATCAGAAGAAGTGCAGCTAATTTTCCAACTTTCTACAAGATACACAGTGAGGGGAAAATAAATGCCATCTCATCATTCACTGATAAATATGAAGTGACCCTATGTTGACTTCAGAATTCTTACACAGATATAATTTTCTGCCTGTTAAAATGATTTTAATGATTTATTTTAAAACTTTAATAGATTTTCAGTGCATATTTTGTCTTGGCTTTTAGATCATGAGAAAGTAACACTGTAGTCAGAAAGTATAGGGTAACATTCTTAATGCAATAAATTACAATACAGCTCAACAACTTCATTTAAAATCATTTAAACTACATTGGGCGACACATCTGCATTTGATGCACATGACTAATATTGTAGGTATCTGTATGATCTTCCTCTTCCTAAAAGTGATTTGACATCTTTTAAACTCTCATATATTATGCCTAGTAAAACAGAAGTAGAAAAACAATATAGTTACAGCTATTAAACATTTAATTTCACTATGAACTTCTTGGAAATCTGGGTAAAAAGAGATTACATATTTTTCATTGTCTTATAGAAGTGGTGTATCAAATTTTATCTGAAGTCAATTTTTTTAGTGTTTAATTATAAAATTAATTGATTATTGACCTTACAGGGAACATGTATATACCATGCCTTTTAAATCAGATTTAGTATCAAGACAGAAGTGATTTTTGTTGTTGTTGTTCTTTTATTTCCCTTGAATCTGAAAGTTTAATATTAAAATGTCATATGTGATGCAGATATATGGCTATCTGATGGTCTCACTTGATAATTTAAATTAAAACCTGAGAGTCCCATAGAGTAGATGACTTTGCCTTAGAGTGACTTTCTTAAAAAAACATTAATTTAGATAGGAGCTAAGTGGCCAACAGTTTTTGTTAAGTCTCTCATGAAAACAATATCCCATGGTAGTTTTTTCATCTTTGTTATGTTCAGAGCCTCGCACAAGGCTTGACATAAAAGGCATTTATTAAATATTTACAAGTTGAGTAGCACTTGCTTTATTGATGTTAATTGATGGAAAATTCCCATAATCTATAAATGGTTGGATTGACATTCACTATGAGAGTTTAAGGATCTGACAGATGTTCTTACTTAGGTGGCAGACCACTGCACTGCCACTGAAGGTAGGCCAAGGGGTTGCCAGAGAGGGACAACAGATCTGCTTAAGAACCATAACCAGTGCACAACTGAGATGCCAGCATTCCACAAGGCAGTGGATATAATGTTCAAGAGTGATTGTTACCAGCTCTGACTTCCTTGAAGGCTGTCAAGATGAGTTGCATGCATACTGTATTCCCAGCTAATGAGATGAGCTGACCTGCCTATTAGAGTTCTTTAATTATCGATAGCTTGTACTTTGAAACCAGTGTTTAGAGACAGGGTAATATTGAAAGCACCTGATCTAAAGTACAGTGTCATTCATTTCTGAGGCCATAATTATTAAATTTAAAAACTGTTTAAGTCACAAGTAATTTCTCATAAAATTTGAGTTGTTTATACTGAAACTGTAAAATAATCTATGAGATTAGAGAAATTTGAAGGAATATCTCAAGTAGTAAGCCACAACTTGGACATATCTATGTTTTTCCAGTATTTTTATGTAAATTTCAACTATACAGACATATCAAAATAATAGTGCAATTAACACCCATTTACTGATTTTATAAATTCTACATTATTATTTGGTTATATTTGCTTTATCACATATCCGTCTATGCAACTCTCTGTCTATATTTACATCCATGTTTACTTTGATGAATTTTTAAAAAGTTTGCTTAAATTAGTACAATTTACCTCCAAATATTTCTGCATGCATTGGATCAACTAGAATTCAATAATATTATGCAGATTTTTTTGGAAGTGATAACTTTACATACAGTAAAAAATCACAAAACAATACTATCATTTGATGACTTATGGAGTATGTCACATTCATGTGACTATTAGATATACACTCAGAAAATATATATTTAACATTTTTTGTCACAGTCTAGGGACTATAAAAAGATGATCAACGGTTTCTCTCATATTAATTATATATATGATGTGTATACATACATTATATATTATTAATGTATATGTAGTAATTATATATACAATGTTTAAATGTCTTTAATATAGACAGCTAGGAATGCAATGATTTGGTATATCCAATTTGACAAACAACTTTTAATTCAAAACATGAGAGGCAGTTTTTAAGTGGAGACAAAAGTAATCTACCCTAAGAAATTAAATTATATCAGCCTTTTCCTTTATTCAGTTGATATAATACAGAAGATATGACTTGGCATATCATATACCCGAAGCTGTGTTATAAGTTATACAGAATGTACCAGGAAAAGAAAATGTCACATTTATTGATTTGCAATGTACATGTGTCAAATTATATTACTTAACATTGTTCAGCAATAGACAGACATTTGTGTGTGTGTGTGTGCAGCTGTGTTATCAAGGAAATGAGAGAAGCATCTAGTATAAAATTGTATAAATAAACCAGTATGGTCAAAAAATAATAACAAGATGAAGAGAAGGTTCCCTAGGAAATCACTCACATAATATATCATTGTGTAATAACCACAGCCATAATATTTTGAGCATGTATTCTCAAGTTGAAGCTAAAGTTGCTATAATTTTTTTTGTGATTTATTTCCCTTGAAAGGTTTAGCTCAAGGGGTCATCTGCTCTAAAGTCATTGCTCCTCTTGGCTATTTTCCTTATAATATTATGATGGGTTCACAAAACTAAAGGTTACCAAAAATCTGGTCAATAATAACAAGTAAATCAATGATATAAAAATTATCCCCCCTTCCAAATTATTATTTAGAAATTAATCCAGTTAAGGCCGGGTGCGGTGGCTCACGCCTGTAATCCCAGCACTTTGGGAGGCCGAGGCGGGTGGATCACGAAGTCAGGAGATGGAGACCATCCTGGCTAACATGGTGAAACCCCGTCTCTACTAAAAAATACAAACAATTAGCTGGGCGTGGTGGCGGGCGCCTGTAGTCCTAGCTACTCAGGAGGCTGAGGTAGGAGAATGGCGTCAACCCTGGAGGTGGAGCTTGCAGTGAGCCCAGATGAGCCGAGATCATTCCACTGCACTACAGCCTGGGCGATAGAGCAATGCTCCGTCTCAAAAAAAAAAAAAAAAAAGAAATTAATCTAGTTAAAATTAACAGATATTATCATGTTATCCCCAGGCTTTTACAAGAGATATGTTCTATTAAACAGCATTTTAAAAATGCTATTCACATGTTTATTTTGAGATATACAATTTCCGATCTTGGATAACTCTGAAGCACAGGCACATGTAATTTAATGGGCAATGTCCTCTCCAACTTTAAAAAAGAAGCCATAATAATCCTAACAACATTTCTAAGATAACTGACTATGCATATAGTAAAAAATGGAAAAAAAAAAAAGATAGTGCATATTGAATTAGAAGACCAGAAATTCATGTTCTCACATAGTTTTTCCTCCAAGTCTGTGTGGTCTCAGCAAAGTCACTTCATGTGTCTGCGCCTCATTAATTTCAGTTGTAAAATAAAGGTAATTGGCTAGAAGAAGTTTCAGGCTCTTTCCAACTCTGAAGTTCTAGTATTCTAAGAATAATTTGTATAGGCAGGCGTTCTTTGATCTTTTTTCTCTTTGGTAATTGTAATAGATTATAGTGCCATTCAGGGAAAGGCACTAAGAAGTTTTCAATGGCATTTTCTTTTTTACCTAATCAGTAGATGCAGTTAAAATAGATTGATATTGGCTTACGTTGTGGACTTAATGCTAGAAACAGTTTTATGTTGGTTTGAGCTTATTCAAACAGGCATATTTAAGAGGTCTGATGCAAAATGGTGATTCCACAAGAAACATTTAAGTTATAACAGTTATAACATAGCTGTATCTGGTTAAGACATATTTTGCCAAGTAGCTTTTCTTGTTAAATTGTCTCATTGGCTGACCAACTATTAATCAAGCTCTCCATCTCCCAATGTGGTAAAAGTCAAATGGATTTTGTCATCAGCTGAGCCATCTGTCTTCTCATACTGTTCTGCTATTTTTCTTCTTATTTTTGAAACTCTTCAACTGAAATTAGAAATTGAAGAGGAGGAGGTAATTAGTGAACACAAGTATAGCAGAATTTCATAAGCTTTGATTATTGTTCAATGTTCAGGCAATGAGGTAAAAATAGCATTTCAGATATGTTTGTATTCATTCAAGAGTTTCTTTTGAAGTTTTCTTGGAAAAATTCTATATACTCCCATGGTATAGATGCAGGAAAATGTGTTTGCTTTAAGCCAAGCATGATGGTGCTAGGCCCTCTATACTAAAGAAATATAAATTATCCTAAAGCAAAGCAAATAGAAATGCTACATTGGTGCCTGTTGTTTTCATCTGCTCTGGGAAAAGAAAGTATCCAAGGCTCTCATCTCAAGAGGACTGAGGTTCCACAAAGTGCTAAAAATACTTCCTACCATTCTTTTGTCCATTTACCTTAAGCCAAATGCTTATTTCTCTTGTCTTTATTGGGGTGGAGCCACCTGAAATTAAATGTTTGGAATGAGAGAAAATGAGAGAGGGGAAACACAGAGAGGAAGCAGAAATAGACTTTCTAATGAAAGGCCCCTAAACCTATCTCCTGTGTTATTGCTGGAAACCCTCTTACAGTGTTATTGACTGATAGCCACATAGTCCTTTCTTAAGCATATACTGTGTGGGAGGCTGTATTTTTCAGAGGGCAGCTCATCTTATAATTGGGCTGCATCAACTGTTAGGAAACTCACGTTCATGCAGGACAGAAGTGTTTTCTCCTTGTTATTTTCCACCAGTTGGTCCTGTGCTGGCTTATATATGTCTACTTCGTTTTATATTTGTTGATCTTTCAACAGTTTGAAGACCATTCTCTTTGTTAGTCTCTTTTTCTTTAGGTTAAACCTATACAGTTCCTGTGGTGGGACCCTATGCCTTCCTGACTCTCCAATCTTGTGGCTACTCTTTTTTTTGTTTTTTTTTAAGTCCTAAGGCTTCCCAAGTTATCATTGTGTTAAGGAACCTAAATGAGTTCAAAGCTCTTATTTGCATTGGCTGCCTTACAAACTGATCACCTCTTTTATTGAGACAGCTTTTACTACATTAAACATTTAATTGAGGAAAATTATAGGGTTTTCACCATGATTTTACAGTAAATAAGCTTACATTAATTTTGTGATGACAAATAATTTTAAAAAAATACCTGGGCACTGAATTTCTTCCTTTGAAAAAAGTAGAGAGCGTTACTAGCCTGAAAATTCTCTTTCCAACCGATCTGACTTAACTGCTCCTTAGGATGAAGTGCTGTTAGATTTATTTTAACATCTTCCTGATTGATAGGAATAAATCTTGCTACATATAGGTACTGTAAACTCAGAGGCTTTCAATTTTTAAGCTGTTTTTGTATATTTTCTAGTCACTATTATGAGAAATCATTCTTGTTAAGCAACAAGAATGATTGTTTCTTAAAAAACAACAACAACAAATGTTTAGGTGCAGTGACCTCAAACTCTTTTATATCAGACACTTGCAAGATTATTCTATCTTGTTCTATCTAAAACAACATAAATAGTCTTGAAAAATACTTTTCCATCAGTCCCAAGGATTTAAATACAATACTTAAAATTTGAAGCACTCTAAATCTTCGATGAAAAAATGTGGCGGAGATAGAGGCAAACTCCTGGAAGGAGTCTATCAGTGGAAGGCCATCAGTAGATGGGTCACACCTGAAAGCCGTAGTATGTATTACTCAACTTTGTGTTCCCATAGCCCAGCATAATATCTGGCCTATGATGGGTGCTAGAGTCTACAAGCACTCAGAGGTAAGTCAACATATTAGCGGGGTAGGGGCAGAGGCTAGTGGATTCTGCTTCTCATCTTTATTGCCTTTTGATAAAACAACACAGACCCCTGAGTATTATAATGCATGGACTGGAAAAGGACATTAGTAATTCAGAAAAGCTATTTATTGTTGTTTAGCCACAATATAGACAATAAATATCAACTGTCTGGCTTTATAAATTACACACAATGAAAGAAGAAGCTACCCAAGCTGCTGAATTATAACTGCCCCCCTCCCTTTTTTAGACAGAAGAGACCTTGGCAATGTTTCTGAAATCCCCCTAGGTTAGTAGAACATGGGGCAGAAGGTGGTTAGTAAATGGTATCATTTAATGAGACTTCCAGTGGTTCAGATGCAACTGGATTGATCTCTACCTACTTGGTTCATGTGTCAAGTGAATAGAATCCAAAACTTTGCTTAAAGGAGACAAACATTCCTGACAGTTCCATTGCCCATGCAATCTTTCAATAGAGTCCCTGGAGTGAAGGGCTGCTGTAGGCATACCTGAAGGACTTTGAAGTTAAAGAATATGTTTTTCCCAGAATTTCAATTCACGCCTACTTTCAAACATTACAGGTCAAGGAAAATCATGCAATAATACAAGTTGTGTATAATTTCTATATAATTAGAAAGCTATTTAAGTGTTTCTTGGAGGAGTTTGTGATCCAAATTTGCAGTACAGCCATAGTTTTAAAATTTATGAGAATCCACAGTGATGTCAATGTACTATGTGAATGTTGGAAAGAAAAAATAATTAAAGCAGGCAAGGCATGTAACCTACACTCCACTTGTTTTGTTAGAACTAAAGATTTAAACATGGTTGTGTATCATAGCACTAGTTGGAAAATTGTAGTGAGTTATTAAAACATATATTGAGTGTCTAGTGTATGCAACCCCCCAAAAATCAATGACCTTTTAATACCTAAAATAGAAAGATTATCTGCTTTTCTTTTCACTTCTATATATGTGATGGCTCACATGCTTTTGCAGCATAAAATAACACTTAATACCTCTTTCATTGAACTGATAACAATGTCCATTGTGTTAAACACTCCTTTTGAGCAAGCTCTGCATTTATTACATACAGTCTTTATATTTAATGTCTTTCAAAGTGACTGAAATAAGTTATGTGTTAAATAAATGTGTATTCAAGGAACAAACCCATGAATGAATGGTGTCTTACAAAGTAGGCCATGTAAGGTGTGAAAAGGACCTAAAAATTCAGACCAAGTTTAAGTGCCTTTGTTCAGTATGAACAAATCCAGATCCACCACAAGGAACAGTTCTCTGGGGAACATTTTTTAGTGTATTGACTAACACTTAATAGATAATTAATTAATTTGTATTTTTTAGTCTGTGTTTTCATGGCGAGTCATGTTTCCTAAATTGATTGAGAATAAATTCCTTCTAATGCATGACATGAATTCCATGCTAAGTTCTTCTTTCTATATTTTCTTAGATTTTATTTTGAAGGCTGTATTTCTGTGACCTTGAAAGCACAGCATGCAATACTGCACACTAGACATTATTCTTAATTAACAAAATAAGTGGTCATCATGGCCATATTGACCCAACAATTTCTTAAAGCAAGGAACAACAATAATAACAGACATTCACTGAGAACCTTCTCAGAGTGCTGTTGAGAAAACCCACTAGAAAGAAATCACAAGCCTTTCCCATTAGTCTCTAAAGACTACCAGGTATGTGTATTTGATAATTAATACATTCTAAAAGGCTGAGAAGCTGAATAGAGTTTTTGTTAGCACTTCTGGGCTAGCACGGCAAAACTGGAACTCAAGGCCTGCTGATAAGGGAGTCCAGTGGGTTGAAATCGTGAAAACCACATTTTAGGAATTAGGCCAAATTAGAAATAAACTGGACCTCACATCTTCAAATCATCTAGTTCTTGAAGTTGAATTAAGATCATCAGTGATTATTATTGCTACTAACTGCTTGACAGAAGCTTGTCAACATTTTATTTGTATAACATTATTTATTTGTATAACATTTTTCTATAAAATATCAGTAACACAATAAAAATACTCTAAGAGATAAGATAAAGCAATGAAAACCAAGAGCAGCCATACACAATAAAACAGAAACATAGGAAATGGAGATAATGTAATTGTCAGACATTAATGTAAAAATAACTATGACCACTATATTCTAGATAATAGAGGATAAAGTTGGGGTAGATCCTGCTGATTCTGAGTAAGATAAACACACACCTCTCTATATCTTACTGAATTCATCAAAGAAACTTAGATAGATGCACAGGAGTTATTATTTGGGAACTCTGAAAATTAAATACAAGGAACTAGATAAAGAAAGAATGGCACAATTTAACGTACCATTGAAACGGTGTTGTGTTTACCTTTTGTTTTCCACCTCTGGTATCCTCTGGCCTCAACTCAGCATAATTTGAAAACTGGAAGTAAGCTTTAGACTGCAGAGAAAGATCCAAAAGAAATCTACTAGTCTGACTTAAGGAGTGGAAAAAGAAATGCTGAAAACTCAGAAAGAATAAGTGAAATACCCATTTTTATTTATTCTCATTTTTTTCTGTTATCTTGTAATTCTGCCCCCAGGAAATCCCTTAATGGGGATGATGACAACAGAAAAAGCAGCTGAGAACAGGTTACTCCAGGAGCCAAAATTATTTGTCATTGAGAATTTTGACACACCATAAGAAATTGTAAAGAAGGATCAAGTATAGGTCAGAAAAATAAAAAAAAAAATACACACTGACAAAATAAAAACACAAATGGCAAGTTTAAAAACACTAGCTAGTTAAAAAACTAGTAAGAGGCAAAAAGCAAACAACCTAACTTAAAAATGGTGAGGCAAAAATGTTAAAAACACACAGAAGAGGCCTGGCATGGTGGTTCATGCCTGTAATCCCAACACTTTGAGAGGCTGAGGCAGGTGAATCGTCTGAGGTCAGGAGTTTGAGACCAGCCTGGCCAACATGGTGAAACCTCATCTCCAAAAAAAATACAAAAATTAGCTGGGCGTGGTGGTGGGCACCTGTAATCCCAGCTACTCAGGAGGCTGAGGCAGGAGAATCGCTTGAACACAGGAGGCAGAGGTTGCAGTGAGCCGAGATCATGCCATTGCACTCCAGCCTCGGTAACAAGAGCTAAACTCTGTCTCAAACAAATAAACAAACAAACAGAAAATAACATAAGAAATTTTTGGGAGAATGGTAAAGCCTAATATCAGGTAATTGGAATTCCAGTAAGAATGGAGAAGTGGCATTTGAGGAGATAATACCTAGCAGATTTTAAAAATAATGACAGATATCAAATATTATATTTAAGAAGCCTACAAAACCTAGGAGGCAAAATACAAAAAAGATCATTGTAGCAAAACTGTTGAATAATAAACATGTTTAAATATTTTTTACCTTGTTTTAGAAATAGATGTTTTAAATAAAAAATTTTTGAAAGGTATTATCCCTGTTATAAAACTAAGAATTTCCAAGAGATATATTGCATGGAATAATAGAGACTCAGAAAGGACTATAGTGTTTATCTAGTTGACCTCTTAATTTATAGAGATAACAATTTAATCTAAAAATTAGTCAAATCCATATCACAAATTGAAAACTGGAGGGGGATAGCAGAAGGGATTAAATTTGATAATTGAAGTTGGATCATGGAACTGTATCCAGCCTTCTCGAAATCCTAAAGTGATGGTAGGGGGTTGGTTGGGGGCTTTGAGGTTAGATGCAGATAATCCCACTAAGGATGAGTTTCAGTTTGGAGACAAAGTAAAACATTGAGAAAATAATAACATGGATAGTTTTCCTTACAAAGTAAGTTATCATTAGGAAAACCACTTTATCTACTTTTGAAGGGGATTTTTGAACATTACATTGCTTTATACAACATAACCAAATTAAATGTATAGCTTTTTAGGGGCGAGAACTCTATTTTCCACATATGCTGCATTATCTTCCTGAATGTTCCAGAGATTTTTCTAGCATTAAAATAAAATTCAAAAACAATTTACCAAATCTTTGCAAAAATTTTTAATAAAATTATTTTTAAAATTTTAAAAGAAAAACTTGAAATCAATCAGAAGAAAAGAGATTTTCTTCGTAGGATAAAATATTACACTGATACTGAACTTTTTATCAGAAACAAAACCAGATGACAATTGTCCAAGTTTGGGTTCAACTGAAGCAGACAGTGAAAGAGAGTTTGGTGTACACGATATTTACTAAGAATACATACCTATATCATAGAAATGAAAGACGGAGTGGGCAGAGGGAGAAGTTACGCTGTAATGCTACCCTAAAAATGCTTCAGCCAACCCCACTGGAATTTGGGAGAATATATGGCCCATGAGAGTTGTCCTGCCATAATAGCTGGATCTTTCTGTTCCTTACTGCAATTGTTCATGGAATATGGGCTGCTGCAGGAAAGGAAGGCCCTTAGGTGAAGTGGTCCTCTGTAGCTGAATCAACTCTGATGTTTCAGACAGCTAGAAGCTGTCTTCTGGCAGCTGAGATAATGAGTCCTCCCTTGAAGTAGGTATTGGTATCTAGCCTTATTTTCCTAACAATATATCCTTGTTCTGCTCAAATTCAGTTTTCACATACATTTTGCAAGTAGCTTCTTCAGAATTCTGGTTATCCTCTGTTCCTGGAGGAATGTTTGAAGAGCAGCAGTAGATGCAACCAGAGTTGGGTTCCTGACCTGTATGTTAAGGGATATGATACTAAGAAAGACAAAGAGGAAGTTTTGACATTGTCACCCTAGTTAACATAATAAAAACAATGTTACAAAGGTAACAACTCTTGCAATCTACCCATATTGTACCTTTGGGTAGATGGCAAAAGTTGTTGCCTTGCCTTCACAGATCAAAATGCTGTAGTAGTGGGGGTATTTGCCATTTTTAACTCACCACTCTAAGCCTTGCAGATTCAGGTGAAGGATGACAGTAAAACCCAACTCACCCAAGTAGTAGGCTCAATTTTAGCTGCTATGCTAGATGTATCAAGAGTCTGAAAGAATTATTAAAAGATTGGGGAAAGTGCTCTGTGGTAGAGGAAATGTGGATGGATGTAAAACAAAACCTGAAGGTCTTTGTATCCTATGTTAATGCCTAGCAAAGAATACCCATGATGAGACACTAATCCACCAAGTAGACATAATGAATCAGCCAGTTTACATCAGCCAGCCTCAAGGAACACCTACACCAATGCTGGCATGATGGACATATGAAAAGAATGACCATAAGTAAAGAAGAGAGGCTATGTATGGGCCCAGTGGCAGAAGGTTGATGTAGCTATTGCTATCACAAAATATCCAAACTGCCAGCAGTGGAGACTTGAACTGATTTCCCAATATGGCACCATTCCTTGAGGACACCAATGGACTACACAACAGAAAATTGATTACGTTGGCCTGTTTCCACGTAATTAATTCTGTAATTTGTTCTAATCAGACAGAAAAAAAAGCATATTCTAAATATGGGGATTGTCTTTTCTACCTATGTGGCCTGAGGCAGCACCGCTAACTAAGAAAGTATGGAATGTTTGATCTGTAAGAACGTGGTATCACATAACATATTTTAAGAATGAAATCCCACTTTACAACAAAGGGGGTATGGGAGTGGGACCGTAATCATGGAACCTACTAGAAATATCACATGTCACACCACTGAAAAGCTGTCAGCCTGATATAGTATTGGATCAGTTCAAGCACTGGCTTCAAGATGATATTCTATGGGAATGGACTCCCATTCTCCAGAATAAAGAATATGCGTCAAGTCAACAACCCTTAGATGATACTATTATCAAAAGAGAAGAATATTAATATTTAGATCTCAAAGCCAAGGGTAGGAAGATGCAGTGGCCCTACTATCCATCACCCATTGATCCACTGGGAAAATGTATACTCCTCTTTCCCAAAATTATAGCTTCTAAGTGGTTAAAAGTGCAAGTACACACATGTACATACTGTTGCCATAATCATAGTAGGACTCCCAGTGAATTATAAGATGTAGCAACTGCCGTTGCCCTTTTCTTGCTTTTGGATCAGAGACCAGCAGTCAAAAAACAAAACAAAACAACAACAACAAAAAAAAGTAACCAATCTGGCTGACAGGACTATGTTACAGTGATCTTCATGAGGAGGTACCCATGTTACAGGGAATGGGGCCGGGGAGAAATTTGTGCAAAATCCTAGTAATCCATTTAGACTTTTTTGGGTTCCCTTGTCCAATTGTGATGGTAAGTGGGCAAGAGAAGCAACCCCAGCCTGAGAGTGAAGACATGAAGACAGGAACTCAGAACCTTCAGAGATACTGGTCTCCAGGAGAGCCACTGCAGCCAGCAGATGTAGTGCTAAAGTAATGTAACTAAAAAGTGGATGAAAGAAAAATTAGTATCAGTTGAGGCTCTGATATCAACTACAGGCAGTAGGGGCTACAATTTTGAGCCCAGCCACTGGGCCTCATCCTGGTTCCCAGCTTTCTCTGTCCTGCTGCTGCAAGTAAAAGCTAAGCAGGAGTGAATCACAAAAGAGGTTATCTGATTTCCACTCTTGGCTTTTACCTGCCTGTTAATCACTTGCGGTTTTCATTTTCTCTTTTAGGATTCCAGTGGTGCTTAGTAACTGAAAAATAATGAAACTTGTTGGTTATTATTCCCTCTGTGTATCTCAAATGCCAGCTACATCACACATTCTATTGTATTTCTTTTTCCCAGAATTTTAACAACTGGACTATCACTGGGTCTGTGTTCCACTTAAAATCAGTGACAGATAACTTATGTCTAGGTATGCAGTGAGTAATCAGTTTCCACATTCTTATTTCATCATATGCTTTTTCAAATCAGTTTTGATACCAACTGTCCCAGTTTGGGTTTTCTAGAGAAGATGCTGAGACAAGGTTTAGCATACAGGATATTTATTAGTGATTAACACCTGCAGCATAAAGCAGGAAAGAGGTAGGATTTTGAGTGAAAACTGAAAATTTATGATGAAGATACAGCAAAGTCTTGGCTAATCTCATGGAAATCTGTGGCCTCTATGATTTAGCCCATGTTGGGCCAATTAATGCGCTGTGTCTTTATATTTCCACTGCAATCCTTGGTTATCAGTTGACCGAAAACAGCACATTTTGAAAAGACAGCTATGTGTACTGGAGGCAAATCATGAAGTTACTGACAGCTGGAGAATGTCTGCTGATAACAAAGACAAGTTCTTTCTTGATGGGAGTATTTGGGTGGCACACCAATTTTTCTACCATGACATCAAAGTGATATCCTCAAACAGCTATAAGAAAATAATGATTAAGCTAGACCTTCATAATTTATTATTGCATAATTCAAAACTGAATGTAAAATAGACATTTTTAGTCATAGAAAAACAAAGAAAACCTGTGATCAGCATATCTACTACAGTTGAGTCTTGAATAACATAGGTTTGAGCTGCATGGGTCCACTTACATGTGTGTTTTTTTCAATCAAATGCAGTATAGTATATGTACAAAATATAGTATTTATGAACCTGCATATACGGAGGGCCGACCTTTTATATATGTGAGTTCTGCAGGGTCAACTGTGGGACTTGAGTGGGTGTGCATTTTGGTATATCCAGGGTACTTGGAACCAGTTCCCCACATACACTGAAGGATGACTGTATAAAGAAAATATTTTCTGTAAAAGGAAAATGATGCTATGTATTAGCTTAAAATTGCAGGAAGAAATGAATAAGTATTCCTTCTTTTCTTGAGGCTTTAAGTAGGAACCATTTCCTTGCATTTTATAGTTTGTAAAGGCTGCTTGAATTCTTCAGTTTATGCTCCCACCCATCTTTCTTTTTTCTTTTTTTATTAATTTTAATTTTAAGTGCCAGGTACATGTGCAGGATGTGCAGGTTTGTTACATAGATGAACGTGTGCCAGGATGGTTTGCTGCACCTATCAACCCATCATCTAGGTATTAAGCTCAGCATGCATTAGCTATTTTTCCTAATGCTCTCTCCTGACCAACTCCATCACCCAACAGGCCCCAGTGTGTGTTGTTCCACTCCCTGTGTCCATGTGTTCTCCTTATTCAGCTCTTATTCAGCTCCCGCTTATAAGTGAAAACATGTGGTGTTTGGTTTTCTGTTCCTGCATGAGTTTGCTGAGGATAATGGCTTCCAATTCCATCCGTGTCCCTGTAAAGGACATGATCTCATTGCTTTTTATGGTTGCATAGTATTCCATGGTGTATATGTACCACATTTTCTTTATCCAGGCTATCATTGATGAGCATTTGTGTTGATTCCATGTGTTTGCAATTGTGAATAGCAATAGCTAATATTTAAAAATAATACATAATTTATTATCATCATACTAGAAACCTGTAAAAATGATCAGTGAACTTGAAGACATAGCAATGTTCAACTAAACAAAAAAATCACAGAGATAAATATAAAGGTTAAAAAATAAAAAGAGCTCTAGGATAGTCTGCTATAATATCAAGTAGTTTAATATTTAGCTTTTTGAATGCATAGATATATATTTTTAATTTAAAAATTTTAAAGTTATTCCTTCAAAGATAATCACATCATGTCATATCATGGTTAAGTAACTGAAAACCAGATAAGAAAATAAAAAGAAATCAAAAGGAAGGCAAGGAATACTTGCTACCTTCACAGAAATAAGTTAAGAATTACAATATATAGCTTGTCTGAAACTATGAATGCCATAAAGGCAATGACATGACTTTAAGGTGGCAAATAAGGAGCTAAATCTTCAAATCTAGAATTCAATGAAAAAATAAACACATTTTCAGACAACCTAATTAAATTTGTCATCAGCAGATCGATACAATAGATGTTTTAGAAATTTTTGAAGCAGAAGAAAATGATAACAAATAGAAACTCAGATCTATGCAAAGCACTGAACAAAAAACAAAAAAGTTTCTAAATATAAAATAATTTAATGCTCATGTTAAAATATCTTTAAAAGATTATGAACTAAAACAAATAGCACTACAAACAACAAAATAATGTACTGTGATGCTTATAATATTTGAAAAATTAAAATTTGTGGCTGTAACAGCACAAAAAGCACAAAAATTGGAGGGGGTAAGTGTAAATGTATTGTTGTAATTTCCCTCATTTTAAGCATGTTGATACAATATCTGGGGTTATAATGAGATAAATTTAAGATGTGTATCATAAGCACTAGAAAAGCACTTAAGAATAAAAGTGTATACTCAGTAATTTAATTGTGAATATAAATTGAATTATTTAAAATATCTTCGATCCAAGAAGATGGAGGTGAAAGTGAACAGCGTCAGATGGGAAGGGAGAAAACAGATGCTATAATGGTGGATTTCAACACCATTGAAAATTGCATTTAATGTAAATGCAATTTTAACACTAAACTAAACACTCCAACTAAAAAACGTACATTCGCAGACCACTCAAAAAATCAAGACTCAGGCCAGGTGAGGTGGCTCATGCCTGTAATCCCAGCACTTTGGGAGGCCCAGGCAGGCAGATCACCTAAGGTCAGGAGTTTTCAGGCCAGCCTGGCCAACGTGGTGAAACCCCGTCTCTACAAAAGTACAAAAATTAGCCGGACATGATGGCAGGTGCCTGTAATCCCAGCTACTGGGGAGGCTCAGGCAGAAGAATCACTTGAACCTGGGAGGCAGAGGTTACAGTGAGCCGAGATGGTGCCATTGCACTCCAGCTTGGGCTAGAGATCGAGACTCCGACAAATAAATAAATAAATAAATAAATAAATAAATAAATAAATAAATAAAATAGAATAGAATAAAATAAAAAATAGGCCAGTCACGGTGGCTCACGCCTATAATCCCAGCACTTTGGGAGGCCGAGGCAGGCAGATCACGAGGTCAGGAGATGGAGACCAGCCTGGCTAACAAGGTGAAACCCCGTCTCTACTAAAAATGCAAAAAATTAGCCGGGCGTGGTGGCGGGCGCCTGTAGTCCCAGCTACTCGGGAGGCTGAGGCAGGAGAATGGCGTGAACCCAGGAGGAGGAGCTTTCAGTGAGCCGAGATCGTGCCACCGCACTCCAGCCTGGGCAACAGAGCGAGACTCCATCTCAAATAATAATAATAATAATAAAATGAAATAAAAATAAAAAATAAAAAATCAAGACAATTGCATACTGTGTATAAGAAACTCACTTTAAATATAAAAAACAAGTAGGTTAAATAACAGAGTAATAGAGACATACTATAAAAACACTAACCGTAACTAGTACAGTCGCTGTATTTAAGAAAAAGTAGATTTTAGAAAAAAAGTGTTTAGAGAGATGAAGAGGGATATTATACAATTATTAAAGGGTCAGTTTTCCGTGAAAAATAATCATAAACAGATGTACAAACACTAAAATAGATTGAAATTACATGAAACAGGCCAGGCGCGGTGGCTCACGCCTTTAATCCCAGCACTTTGGGAGGCTGGGGCAGGCGGATCGCTTTAGGTTAGGAGTTCGAGACCAGCCTGGCCAACATGGTGACGCTCCATCTCTACTAAAAATACAAAAAGTTAGCTCGGCATGGTGGCGGGTGCCTGTAATCCCAGCTACTCGAGGGGCTGAGGCAGGAGAATCGCTTGAACCCGGGAGGCAGAGGTTGCAGTGAGCAGATATCATGCCATTGCACTCCAGCCTGGGCAACAGTAGCGAAACTCTGTCTCAAAAGCAAACAAACAAACAAACAAAAACAAAAAATGACAGAATTGTAAAGAAAATTTGACATATCTATAATTATAGTGGGAAACTTCAACATTTCACTCTCTCTAAGTGAGAGAACAATTCAGCAAATTTACTGAAAGTATAACAGAAGACCTGAACAACACAATCAACTGGTGTGAACTTAATTGACATTTATTCAAAACGTACAAACAGCAGAATACATGCTCTTTATAATAAACCATATTGTGAACCATGAAAATAAATTTCAACAGTTTTAAAAGGATCTAAATAATACCAATCTCTGACTATACTGGAATTAAAAATCAATAATAAAAGCATGGGAATAAAACAAATATTTAAATCTTAGATAACATATTTTGCATTAACATGAGATTATGAAAAATTACAGTATATATTAAAAAATTTTTGGAACTCAGTAACCATAAACAACCCAACATATCAAAATTGGTAATATGTCACTTAAGTAAGACTTAGAGGAAATTACATATTTTTAATGCATATGTTAGATTTAAAAAGTTCAACAGTCAAGAACCTAATCATGCACAATAAGATTCTAGGAAAAGAAGTGCTAACAAAATCGACTGTAAGCCAAAGGATAACTAAAATAATAGACCAGAGCAGAAATCCATAAAATATAAAGTACTCAAGCAATAGAGGAAATCAATAAAACAAAAGGCTCTTGTTTTGAAATCAGTGACATTAATGAAACTCAACCAGATTTATCAGGAAAGAAAGAGACATGAAGCAAGTCACCAATATCAGAATAATTGAGGGGACATAAGCATAGATCCTGAAAGGACAACTAGAAAATGTTAGAAATAATTTTATGCCAATAAATTTGAGGGAAAAAATTATTAAAACTAACTCAAGAATAGAAAATCTAAATATTCCTATATATCCCTATATACACACAGAGAGAAAAGTTATAAATTTCACAATTAAAAATCTCCCTAGAAAAAAATTATCTTACTCAATTGATTTCATGGTAAATTCTGTGACACAGTTAAAGAAATAATACCAACTCTACATAAACTTGGAAAATACTGGAAGAGGGACCACTTTCCAAATAATGTTATGAAGTCAGAATTACCCTGGTAGCAAAACCTGACAAAGAAATTACAAGATAAGAAACTACACCTTAATACAGTTAGTGAAAACAGATTTAAAAATACTTAACGAAATACTAATGAGGAGTATTCAGTAATATTTCAAATGATTAATGAACTGTGACCAACTGTGGCTCATCTCAAGGCTGCAAGGTTGTTTTAACATTGAAAATCATTACAATTTTTATAAAAGGAAAAATAAATTTCAGTAGACAAAAAATAAACTTTGACAAAATCAACACCTATTAATAATGAAACGGTTTTAAAAAACAGAAAACCAAACTTTTCAAGTAGATACATGATAGCTATGAAAAAAGCCAATATCATGTGCAAGCTCAGAAAACTGAATATATTCCCCCTAAGATCAGGCACAAGACAAGGACATCTGCTCTCACTACTCTTATTCAACATTGCACTTACCCAATGCAATTGGAAAAGAAGATAAATTAAATGCATATAAAATAGAGAATAGGAAGTAATACAACTCTTCATTAGTAGATGATATGATTGTGACTGTAGAAAATCCAAAGGAATCTAGAAAAAAAAAGTACTAAAAAGGAAGCAGAGCAAGGTCACAGGACAGAAAATTAATATAGAAAAAATTGTATTTCTATAACTGTCAACAAACAATTGAAATTGAATAATATGTACAATAACATAATAAAATCACAAAATACTTTGGAGAATTTAACAAAATATGTGCAAGGCCTGCTCCATGAAAAAAATCAAAACAAAGCAAAATAAAAAAACACTGGGAGAAATTAAAGAAGACCTAAAATCATGGCGTCATATGCCATGCTTATGATTTAGATGACTCAACAATTTTAAGATGTTATTTTTGCTCAGATTGATTAATACAATTAATGTAATCTCATTTACAATCTCAACAGGTTTTTTTTTCTCTTTAACAATTGATTAATTCTAAAATCTACATAGGCAAACAAGACTTGGAATTGTCAAAACAATTTTGAAACAGAAAAGCACTATTTGAAGATTTATACTGTCTGATTGACTTATGGAACTTAAGACTTATGGAACTACAGTAACCAAGATATTGGGCTATGGATGCAGGGAAAGGCCATATATATATATATATATATATCCTATTACATAATGTCTTTCTTAATACGCATATCTTAATGGGGCAGAATAGTCTAGAAATAAGGCTAGAAATTTTGGACTAAAGGAGTCAAGATAAGTGAACAAACAAATAATTGCCTTTTCAACTGAAAATGAAAAACCTGAACATATGCATTCTAAGTAATTCAGCAGTTCCAATCTTAGATATTATATATCTATCTCTCTACATAATGTATATAAAATAAATCTTGATTACTGTAGTTCCACAAGTCTTTCAATCAGATAGTATAAATTCTCCAACAGTGCTTTTCTTTTTCAAAATTGTTTTGACAATTCCAAGATTTTTGCTTGCCTATGTAGATTTTAGAATTAGTCAATTGTTAAAGGAAAAAAAAATTGTTGACATTGTGAGATTGCATATACATACATATATATATACACACACACACCAAATAAAAATGCACACGTTTAACCAAAATACATAAATAAAAATGTTCACAGAAAAATTTTTAATAGACAAAAACTAAAAATGCCAAAATGCCTATTTGTAAGAGAGGGTAAATTTGATATATTTGTTCACTGAAAAAAGTATGTCAATAAAAATGAACAAACCATATTTACAGGAAACAAAATGCACGAATCAAAAATATGATACTGGGTGAAAAACATTTATATACATTTCAAAACCAGTGAAGTAATCAAATGATAATAGAAGTCAGAATATGGTAAGCTTGCAGCGCAGGTAATAGATGGGAGGAAACACAATAGAGGTTTCTGGGGACTGTCAGCATTCTCTTTCTTTATGTGACTTGTTATTTCCTGAGTGTTTTAGCTTTGTGGAAGATTTGCTGATGTGTGCACTTATGAATGATGTAATTTTATATGCATATTATAATTTAAACAAAATGCTAAATAATTTGTATTTTTAGCGTCATCTTTCATTAGACTAATATGAGATTCTAAATAAGACTATTTCAAAAATAGTTATTTCTCTAGTCTTTTTTTAACTTTTATTTTAAGTTCAGAGCTACATGTAAAAGTTTGTTACACAGGTAAATGTGTGTCGGGGGTTGTAGAGATTATCACTATCCTTCTCACTTGACTGTTTTTACTTTCAAATTTTAGGCAAACATTTAATATCATCTTTTACTTTTCTTAATTCTCTTGTTCCTGAAACGGCAACTGAAACCATGTAGCTGTACTGGTAATGGACAATTTAGCATTACTTATTACTCCTGTGTTTTGACATTATATAAAATGTATTACAGAATATAAGGTAAGGCAAAGGTAAGTAAGGATTCTTCTTTTTAGATTTATTTCATCCTGAGATACATTTAGACAAGACAACAGTCTCTTATACCAAGAAGCCAACATACTTTGCATTCATGAGCATTTTAAGTAATGAAAGGACAAGAAAAGGATGTGATCAGATAACGTTACCAGTGTGACTTGCAAATTTGTGGATGATCTTGAATTTGAAACAAGAAATAGAGTAACAAAAGACAATGGAAAATTTAATCTGATGTGGAATATGTGGAATCAGTTAAATATGTGGTTATAAGGTGCAGATAGAGTTCACAATCATTACAAGTAGGCTTGGAAGTGCTGGAGTAACATCACATTCTGGTAGGTAAATATGAAAGCAGACTAAGAAATTGATAGGAAAATAAGTAGAAAAGAAAAAGTAAATAAATCATATACTGAGGTACTCAGGTCTCATCTATATTGAACAAATGGCCAAGATAGTATTGCGGGAAGAATGACTAGTCGGAAGAAAAATAAATCACTAAAGTAAAGATATAACCAAATTTACTCAGTTTTAAGAAGCAGTTTCACCTTCTCAGACATGGCTTTGAGATTTAAATTTACTATTTCAAAAAATAGAGAGATAATAAAATTTATGATGACCTTATTTACAACATTCATATATGAACTTGGTAAAAGGGTTAGATAATATCAATTCCCCAGTGAACTGAAGAAATGAGGCCAAATTTTCAAAGTTTGCAATCAACGCTGTGGAGAAACAATCAATAGCCCAGCTCCTACCTACCAAACTGTTACTTCTATTAACGTGATTCAGTTCACAGAAAGAAGTAAGAACAAGCACACTTCATTTAACAGGGAGCTTTGTTCACTTCTAAGCTGACAGCAAGTGTGCAACTCTGATAATATTTTTAATTCCCTTTTAATTTACAGCACTGATGTACAATCCCCTAGGCTCTTTCTCCCTCCAAAAAAGAACAAATAGGCTAGTTAAAGATTATCTTTTTTCCTAACAACTCATATTTTGGGCTTTGGTTTGCTAACGAGATGTATACCATGAAGAATTCTTACTAATCTTTAAGGAAGCCTGTGAAAGGTACCAGATATTATATTCTAGCTATGCTGTCATCTTTTAACAGCAAAAAAAATTTTTGAAAAGAATTTTATTGGAAAATTTTAGCACATATATTTTATAATTTTTAATGGCATGAATTTGCATATAATATGGGTATTTAGCATATAGACATCAAGATATTTGAAAATAATTGTTGGATTTATATAGCTATCCGTATCAATATAGATGTATATAATAGGTATTCATATTCTGACTTATAACTCTTCCTATGTAATTTTTACTTATATTTTTGGAGGCCATTTTTTGTCTGTTTTGGTCACACAAAAAGATTTTCTTCTGAAGTCTTTAAGTTTTCTTTCATGTGTTTGATATACACCTTTAAATAGCTATTATTCATATTTTTATCTGCCTTATGTGAATTTTTTATTAGGTTCACAGGAAGCTGCTTTACCTACAGAAAAGTAACTGTATGGAGGGCAATAAAAATCAACCCTTCAAAACTCAGATAAATGTTAACTTTCAAAGTAAATTCTGAGCCACAAAAGCTAGTTATGTTATGCTTTGTCAGTCAGTCATGTTATGTCAAAGATAGGAAAGAAAAGAATCTATGCCATGTGTGTGTGTGTGTGTGTGTGTATGTGTGTGTGTTGTGTGTGTAGGTAGATATGGATATCTATATCCATTAGGAATTTGTCCAGCAATATTACTAATCTGCATTTAATTCTAATAAATGAGTCTACTTTATTTCTGTTGCCAGATAAACTTCTTTGACTTCTAGGTCCTTTCAAACTGACCTTTGTTAGCTTACTCTTGTTCATTTAACAAAATGGTTATTGAGTAACTACTCATTAATCAGACAGTGCCTATTACCCAGAGGATTTTAAAGCAGTTATTAGTTGAATGGGTGAATGAATGAGTAGATGAATGAATGAAGAAAAAGCATTAGACTTTGGGATTACTATTGGAGGTAGAAAGGTTAATCAGCTAGAACTCTAACCTGCGGCGTCTGCAGTCCAGCAGGTTGTATGTGACTAAATGGATAAGCTCTAGCTAGAGAGCTCAGAAACTTCAGAGAAGGAGGAGCCCACTTATTGCTCTGGGGTGCAGAGAAGACTTCACAGAAGATATAAAACGTAAGATTAGCCTTGCTGCTGAGCAGATTTACTCTGTGTGGAGAGAAAGCAAATAGAATTTGGTGCAATGAGAACATGAGAAAAACCAGGGAACCAGAAATATTAGAAAAAGAAACTCCAAATAAATAATTCAATGTGGCCAGAACACAGATTGGCAATGGGAATCAAAGGTAAATTAATAAATGTTTATGGATAAATAAGGAGATGTCTTAATCCTCAAACCAAATGGGAGGAATTTTTTTTTTGTAGTCAATAGAGAATCACTACAATTTTAGGATAGGAGGTGGAAGGAAGGCGGTTGACACAATCAGCTTCCATTACTATGAGTTTATATTTTAAGTAAAAGGTATTTTAACTTCATAATATCTAGTTGTAAAAGATAAAAATTAATTTCAAAAAGACAGGTGACCAGAGCGAGACCCCGTCTCAAAAAAAAAGACAATTCTTAATTTTCTGTCATTCCAATCAAGAATCAAAGAGATAAAGAAACAGTTTTAAAAAAAAAGGTAAAGAAGTAAAGGTTAAATAATCAGAATTGTGATTTGACCATTGCCCCAATCAGTTCTGTGACAATAAATAAGTCATTCCATACCCCAATATGTGCTTTTGTAAAGGAGGAAATACTAATACTAATACTCATACATTCAGTTTCCAAAATCCTATTATAATTCTTAATTCATTGTCTAAAAACACATTTTTGCTTGACCCTGACATTTGCCAAAATTATTCAAATATACCTTTGTTTATAGTATTATAACGTTTTTAAAATGGAATATATTCTCAATAGTTTCATTTTTTGGCCAAAAAAAACCACACACTAAAGTTAACTAAAAAGGATATATATGTTTAATGGCCATTAGACTCTTTTCCTTGATTAGAAGTGAAAACTGAAAATATTTTGAAAATTGCCTTCTCATTTTGTTATTTTTCAGAAATTAGAAATGTTTTTAATTCCCTTGAATGCCTGGCTACCTTGTAATATTCAACATCAAATTTATCATGGCAAAGTGCAAAATGCTTTGAAATATGCTTGTAGACAAAGATGCCCAGGGGAATCCTTTAATTTTATGTATTGTAGCAGGCCCACATATCAGTTTATAGAACTGCTTCTTGGCTAAGAAGCCTCATGACCTGAATTGCCAGGGCAATTCACTACAAAACTCCATGACTCTACAGTTATCTTTCCTGCCAAATACCTACTTATAATCATCTTTATTTTTGAAGACTTTGGAAGAATTAAGAAGCCAGTGTTATTCGCTTCACATGCCATCTTCAGTAAGGAGCCATTGTCAGTGCTATTTGAATATTTGAATTTCAATACAAAACATTGTATATTACATTTTTATCTTAATTTCCCCTTAAAAGACAGTGGATGTCTTCTGCCAGCAGAACTCAGTAAAAGGAAGATACAGAGATAGACTGAGCAAATCCCTTAATCTCGCAAGTCCTCTGTTTCTTCAACTGTAAAATGGGCAGAACGAGCTAGACATGCTTCCAAGGTACATCCCATGGAGATCACTAATTCATTATAAATCTTTATACCTCACTTTGAAAATATAATATACCATAAAAATGCTAAATATTATTATTAAATATTCAGAATGAGGTTTTTCTCTAAATCTACTGTCATATGCTCAATTGAATGCTAATAATGTTAACTCTGTGGGATACAATTTCAATTATTCATGGGAGTAGCATATATAATGTGTCGTGGTGAATATGCTGGGCAATGTATTTTCACCTATCAATATGATGGTTTCTGACGAAAACTCCCTCTCCAGGTAATGTGAAATGAGATACTTTAGGCAGCTATTTCTTTTAACAACTCTTCATATGATATACAACTTTAGAGGAAAGTTTCTGCAATCTGTGTCAAACTCCTCGTCTTCAGGGAGGCCAATTCACCTACATCAAACCTTCGTATTCTCAAATGAGTGGGAAAGGCTGGAAGGCGAGAGGGCTTTGCAGAGAATGAAAAAGAAAGTGACATAAATCAAGAGAGAGAAGTCAAACATGTCCTAACAGGGTTGAACATAGAAACTTGTACCAAGGAAATGAAATACGCATGATATGGGCAATTTATTTTTACACAAAATAATCCTCAGTATTCTGAATGATTTGAAACTCTGAATTAAAAACTGGCATTAGGAAGATGCCATACTTTTTAGATAAAAGTGAAGGTGTTAACAGTAACCAAAATGAAACTACAAAATAGATAAATGATGAAAATAAATAAGTAAATTTGCTTATGAAGACATTACTTTATTTGAAAAATTGTTGTTTATGGAACTCTTCAGAATTCAGTGTTTTGAAGATAAGTATTGTTGCTTACATATGTAAACAACATTAATTATCCTAGAGGAAAGATTGTGGCAATTATTTTCCACTGGGCATAGAGGTCCATATTTGTAGAGTAATTCCAGATTTATATTGTGATTTACTTGGAAGTTCATGAGTAAGACAGTCAGCTGTATACATGGGTGAAGGATTCAAGAAGTCAAAGGCACTGGCTGCTATAAGGTTTTTCTCTAAGCCCTATGGAAACACATTGTTAACTGAACATCAAGTTTAACATGACTCCTTTGAGAAAAACTCACTGTTCTTTCACATACTGCTATCAAGGGCCACTTAAAAGATAGTGACTACCCAGATTGGTTCAGTCATTTTGCTTCTTAGAATTTTTGAAAAAGATTATATAAAACAAAATTTTAATAGCAACATTATTTATTGTGGTAAATTCTGGATATAGTGGTAAGTTTCCAATAACAGTAAAAGAGGATGTTAGGCAACTATAAAAGCAACAACTATGAACTATGAAGAAATATTGAAAGTAATAATTTTAAAATTTGAAGATAATGATTTATATATGTATATACATACGTTTCAAATCTATAATTGCATACATTCAAACATATGGAAAATTTAAAAAGTAAAACTAAATTCTGTTTAGGAATGTGTAAAAATGTGGATAAATTATAGATTCTGTGATGCTTTGGAGTTTTAATTCTGATGTTTCATGAAAAAAAATTAAGGTATTAAAGACCCACTTCACATATTAGTACACCAAGATAAATGCATTTTTATTAATCAAGGTGGATATGTTGGATTAGAGAGTAGAAAAGTTAATTGTATATTGCATACCTACTATGTGCCAGACACAAAAGTGATTTAAACGTATATCTCATTTAACTTTTCCAACAAGTTTAAAAGAAAATTGCTACTATTCTTACTTTCAGATAAGAAAGCTCATAGTAAAAGAGCCAAAACACCCTGTTTAATGTTACAGAGGTGTCAGAATAGATTCAAACTGAAGTCTATCTTACTTACATACTTTCCATAGGATCCATGTTTTTTTTCCTCCGGTTATGTGGAATGCCTGGAAATGTAATTTTAGATGGGATCTGCAGAAGGATTCTTGTTAGATGATCATTGAGGTGCAAGATGAGATATGGTGCCATCATACTGTGGAGGGAGAAATGATAGGGAAATGAATGATGCCAAAGGTTAATTTTTACTAACTCTCAATTATATTTGTTATCATGATTTCAAATTTTTAATCCATTGACATGGGATAAAATACTCAGCCATTATATAAAATCAAAGCATTTTCTGGAAACATGAGAATGAAGGGCCCCTTGCACCTGGGAATGCATGCTTCTGGTATATTAAACAGGTATTGCTTTCATCTTGCCATCAATCAAGACAAGGCTTAGGAGACCTATCAAATCAGAAGTTGGTGGAGATTCTTCTCTCTCCTCAAAGACACTTTGCTTTCCTCAAGGAAAGTGCTACTTTGCAGTAGCACTACAGACTAAGGTTGAAAATTGTTCTTTAATGGATGTTCTTTAATGGATGGATAAAAATTATTCTTTAATAAGAACCAATTAAAGCAATATCATCAATAAAAGCAGTATAGAAGTATACATATAGAGATAAGGATGGTCTTGAAAAGATATAAAGGCAGATACAATTAATAGCTAAAAGTAAAATAATGTTTTAAATTCCACAAATCAAGTTTTTAATTATATTTCTCTTTTGGAAGATAGCCATTTAAAACCTTGCAAATACCCTACACTTTAATTTTAATAATGAATATTTAAATACGTTCTCAATTTTGCTTCCCTGAACACAGAAATTTTTTTAAACGTGTGAAATTCGGATATTGCATGGTTATCTTAGGGTGTTAATGAAATAGGCAATACTAACTAACATGTTTTTCTAAATGGGGCAAAGGGATAATTAATGCATTAGTACTCTTCTCTCTCTTTACCTCCTGGGTGGATTTTAGCTAAGATGTATGCACATATAGATAATATGGCTTTGATGTAATTTTCAAAGAACACCACACAAACTATATACATTTTAGTTTAGCTTCCTAATACATTGTTTTTTAACTTCACCAACTCCCCTCACTATTTAACCCATAATCTGAATTCATGACCATTTGTATAAGTTTTTTCAGGAAAAGAATTATTTTGAGTAGTTTTAATCTGCTTTTGCTACCATTGGTTTACCTCAATTTATTCTGCTAATCATATCCTGAAATTTAAATGACTTTTATTTTATTTTATTTTATTTCGTTTTATTTTATTTATTTATTTATTGAGACAGAGCCTCACTCTGTAGCCCAGGCTGGAGTGCAGTGGCACGATCTCAGCTCACTACAACCTCTGCCTCCCAGGTTCAAGTGATTCTCCTGCCTCAGCCTCACAAATAGCTGGGGTTATAGGCGCCTGCCACTACACCCGGCTAATTTCTTGTATTTTTAGTAGAGATGGGGTTTCACCATGGTGGCCAGGCTGGTCTTGAACTCCTGACTTCAGGTGATCCACCCACCTTGGCATCCCAAAGTTCTGGGATTATGGGTGTGAGCCACTGTGCCCTGCCTGACTTGATTTCTGTTATGTAGAAAATGCTAGCCACTCTTATCAAATAAGTTATTTGATGCAAAGAAAATGAAGCTCAAAACTTAGGGAACATAGAACTTTAAAAAGGTAAGGAGAAACTAGTCTGTAATGAGAAGAAACTTGTTTATTGCAATAAAATTTTATCTTTTTTTTTCTTTTTTTTTAATTTTATTATTATTATACTTGAAGTTTTAGGGTACATGTGCACGACATGCAGGTTTGTTACATATGTATACATGTGCCATGCTGGTATGCTGCACCCATTAACTCGTCATTTAGCGTTAGGTATATCTCCTAATGCTATCCCTCCCCGCTCCCCCCACCCCACAACAGTCCCCGGTGTGTGATGTTCCCCTTCCTGTGTCCATGTGCAACATCAATAGACTGGATCAAGAAAATGTGGCACATATACACCATGGAATACTATGCAGCCATAAAAAATGATGAGTTCATGTCCTTTGTAGGGACATGGATGAAGCTGGAAACCATCATTCTCAGCAAACTATCACAAGGACAAAAAACCAAACACCGCATGTTCTCACTCATAGGTGGGAATTGAACAATGAAATTTTATCTTTTTAAAAAAAGAGATATTAGTGACACTGAATTCTTTCAAAAACCTTTTCTTTGCAAATTTCAAATGATTGATGAGTTGATAATTTTCACATCCACTAGAATTCATCATATTAAGTTAATGCATTTTAGTTAGAAGAATTTAAATTTCTGTGCTTAATACAGTTATTCCTGATATTTATAAAATTAGTCTTTAGTTGACATTTTTATAAATAATTTTTTCTTTGTGCTTTTGGAGTGTGTATACAATACATCTACTGCTTTTTCAAAAAAGAATTGTATTATTGAGGATTCAGAAAATGTTAGTAGGCCAGCATTACTTCTCAGAAAGAACATTAGAGCAGTTGCACTTAGCTGAGTACAGAGTTTAGCCTATCATATATATGTTAGACTATCATATATGTATCATATATATGACAAGCTAACATATATGATATATAACCTATGATATCTCTATATTATATAGAGATATGTGTGTATATGTATATATGCATGTATATGTGTATATATACACATATATATATGTGTGCGTGTGTGTGTGTGTGTGTATATATGTATATCAGGATGCTAGCCTGCTTTTTTTTGGGAGAGCTCTCCTTCAGCCTGAGCCAGTAATGCAGCAGGAGAGACTAAGGAAGTGGTATCCTCAGTAAAACGAACAACTCTTTTATTTTCTATTCTTAAGAGAGTTGGAAATCTAAGTTATGTTTCAGTTCTTTCTCACTCTATCTTTCTGTTTTCTGGAGGACGGTTGTGTTAGGACTAGGGAGACAATATAACTTACCTTTTAATACACCAAGGCAACTGGCATAAACCAGGAGAGTTCCAGAAAAACAGGGATCTGTGATTGTAATATCACAGATTGTAATATCAATGACTGACTTAAGATGAAATCCAACTACATCTTATCATAAGACAGACTACTTTTATTCACAAATATTCTCTCTTCTGGCTGTGTTTCTGGCATTTTCCAATTTGTAAGATTAGCTGACTTTATGTTTACTTCAGGACAGCCAGCCAATATGGCCCATAGATTTATAAGTATTAGCTTGGAGCTCACAGGTGTCTTGTTTGGTAATAATAAGAAATATTTATGACCTTTTCTGTCAAATGTGGCAAGTTATTACCTGTAAATTGCCAGATGCATTGTTTAAAGATTCCAGATGGATCAATGCTCAACTGCTGTTAGTATAATTTTGTGGTATGGGCTGTCCTATCATTCCTGAAAAATATTCTCTTCCAGGTGGCAATTTCTTTTCTTATTCCCAAATTACAGAAACATTTGAAGCAAGCCAACGAGTGGCTTATTGTAACAGTACCATTGCAGTACTAAAGGACTAATGTGAAGAAAATGCCTCACATGCCTTTTCCATTGGACCCATATTTTGCTGTACATAGTGAATTAGCTAGGTGAAAAGGTGGGGTTAAAAACTGCATTCTATTAATTTTTGTCACCATGGGGCACTGCAAAATTGAATGCTGCCATTGAACATTATTGCTTTAGGCTGGTTCCTTCTCATTCTTTGTGTCTCAGCACAAGTAGCAGAGATAGCCTCCCTGAGCACACTCTCTAATGTGGCCTCTGTCATGTAATCTCTGAAAATACGCATCACCATTTAATTTCATGTATTTAGTTTAATTGCATGTCATTTCATAAAGCAACTTAGGCCACACTAAAGGCAAAGGGAGAGGTTGGAAGTAGGGTCTGGGAACCTGTTTGTTGAGATTGTGAAATATAGTAGAAGATCAATAGCATGTGTAACATGAATAACTAAATGAGTGAATGACTTAATCAATGTGAGGTTTTTCAGAAAGTCAAGGACTTGCTTACTTGAGACATTTCAGTTTTCATTGTGATAGGCTTGCCATGATAACTTTATATATTATTTTTCTATTTGATTCTATCCTTCCCCTTTTATTACATATATATATCTTATATGTTATTTTATTACATATCTATTGTATATACATAATTTTATTACATACATGTATATATATCTTATATATTAAGATTCCGAAATGTGGAAACTTTCAAAGCTGTAATCAGAATCATCTCTCAAATATTTGGTGACCAGAGAAGCCAAACATCCAAACTGTAGCCACTCCCATGGTCCACATGGAAGAGAGCCTGCTACTACTACTAAGCCAGCCTCCCGGCCACAGCTGACTGCACAGTTGTAACAAGTAGCCCATAACAAAATTCATGCACAGGTTTGCCAGTGGCCTTCATGGTGGCAGAATGCCAAAGCTCTGCTGAAATAAGGAAGATGGTGATTAAATGGAAAATCAGGTAGGGAAAATGGATGAGGGGGTTTAAATAGGAAAGTAAAGAGGACCAGTTGATTGGTACTGACAGAAGCAGAGGAAAAGCAATGAAATTCTGCTGCTGAGGGGATGATAAAATAATGTATTCAGCAGAACTTTCAAGGAACCTGGGAACCTATCATGAGGCATGGTTGTCCTGCAGCTCCTGTTCTTGCTGGGAGGCCCAGATATTTATATTTCACCAGGTTTCTCTGAGACCTGACACATGTGCTCTGGATGTATCCATACAATACATTTTCTATTGTTGAAATAACCTGAATGAGCCTCTGCTTCTCATAAACAGAAGAGTGTTGTGTAATCCTAAATAATATAAAATCTCTCCCCAAGTTATATTTGACCTAAAAATTATTTCTGCAGCTTACATATGAAAAATGGCCATCAGACATTATGGGAAATTGGTATATTTTAAACAAAGTTTTGATGTCTTATCATAAGGATGGCTGGAAAGTTACCACTCCATCCTGATTTCATCTTGGAGAAGGAAGAACGCTAATGTCACTTTTTTGGATTCACCCAATGAACTAGTATAGCAGTTCCCACTGCTCTCTTTTCTTCTGCTGCTGCTGCTTTCTTCTCTGTCTTCCCCTCATCTTCTTCCTCCTCTTTCTCTTCTTCTTCCTCTTCTTGTTCTTCCTACTGTTTTATGATCTCCTCTTCCTCCACTTTCTCCTCCTCCTCTCCCTCTTTGTTCCTCCCTTTCTGATTCTACCCTATCAGAATTCTGATACTATTTGCCTAGCCAATAGTAAAAATGTTACTGTGTTATGAATCTCAGGCTACTATTCGTAGCAAGAATTAACCTAGAAGATAATGATGTAAACAAAAAGTTGCATGCAAGATTCCTTGAAGGACATTTCATACTCAGAAAATAGATTGTCTATAATGCGTGTATGTGTTTCATGTATGCCCTTGTACATATTGCCAATAACTAATTCTGAATATTAATTTTAAATGTGGTGAAATAAATTTATTGCCATCTACTTTTTTACTAGATGCCATTTACTTTTTTACCTTTGGTCTTTGATAATAGGTTTGAAACAGCTTAATGCAATAAACTTGCTTGCAAAAAGAATCATCTTATATCTAATTTATAGACATATATAAGAAATTACTCTGTAAAGAGGACTACTTCAAAGTCATCAGGTAGCTGCTGCATTTTATCACCATTATATTAACATTATCATGACAAGGTTGAAAACTCAGCACGGGCAAGATTTGCAAGTTACTGTGCAAGTGTGACTCTTAATTATAGGTAACAATTCATTTTGAGGTACATTAGTATGCTTCAAAATAGAATCTAAAACCTTATTTCTATGTAATTATAATTAAATAATTATAAGGAATCATTTTAAAATTTTATAGAAAAAAGAATCTCTTAAGGGTTTTATCTTCAGGTTAATTAAAAATGGTTTATTTTATTTCTTGGTTAATTACTGAAATTTAGAATCCATAAATAGACATACTGAAGGAAATACTTTTGTTGTCTACGAAGTTCTAAATCAGTGGTGAATTCATGAAATGTTTGCCCATGTGGTACACAATGAAAGTCATCACATGAAGAGCTTTTTACCCAATTAAAGAGAAAATAAGTCGTTCCTCTTTAATTTACTTTTTTGGGGGAAAAGATACTCATTAAACTTTACTCTTTGTACTATGAGCCATTATTTGTCAGAAAGTTTACAAGTTTCATTTTTCTGCTAGCCTTTTGCTGACCAAACCAATCATTTGCAGTAGCAGCCATCAATATAAAGGTTGAAATGGGCTCCTTTCCATGTAAGCATTTAACTTTAAAGGCTGAATTGGACTGGCTATGCAGGAGACCTTGGCACTTGGTGTTATCGCATTCAGTTAAGCAAAAAAAAAAAAAAAAAAAAAAAGAAAGCCAAAAAGCTGTGATTCTATGTTACTTCAATGTAGACATTGTCCATTCTTTTTGAAACAAAGTTTTTGTACCTCTTCTGCCCCTGACAAGAACTACTTATTTGCAAATCCGTGCCAGGATTGTATAATAAACAACCATAGGAGTCTGTCTCTGAATTCCTCCAGATTAGCCCATATACATCCATTCTATACTTCCTTTGCCATCTACATTCTCTATAGAAAACAAGTTATCTTTTAGAAAATATAGATCAGATATCACCAATTGCTTTAAAGACTGTAACGATTTCTTATTAAAATTAGAATGAAACACAAAATCTTTATATGGCATACAAGGCCCTAAACAATGTACCCCTGCTTATTTCTTCAGCCTCATCTTCTACTAATCTTCTTGACATTCATGCAGTGGGCTGTAGCCACAGTAGCTGCCACTTGAACTCACTGAGCATTTTCCACCTCAAAGTACTTGGTTTTTTGTTACTTTTACCTAATAGACACTTTCAAATCTTTGGTTTGTTGGCTCCGTCTTATCACTGAGGGCTTGATTCAAATGTTACTTTTTAAAGGCATGTTTTCAAATCTACACTAGACATCATTTTTAATGGTGACAACTTGGATTCTTTCCCCCTGTGACTGGGAATGGCCCTAGTTTGTTCCCTATGATGACTTCTATTCAGCATGGCACTGCAGGTACCAACCCATTAAATGAAACAAAACAAAAGTCATTCCTTTTGTTGTCACTTATCAGCACTGAAATGGATGATAATAATATAATATTACTCATGGACTATGCAATTCTAGGCAGGAAAAATCTAAAACAATGTAAGGATGTATTACTGAAATAAAAAGGAATTTTCCAGCAACACTAATATACATGGCCAATATGTAATAGTCAAGTGCACTTCCAACTTCAGGTGAAATAAATAGACGTCTCCCAATCCTTGATTTTAGCCCAGTGAGACTGATTTTAGACTTCTGACCACAAGAATTGTAAAAAAATAAATTGGTGTTGTTTTAATCCAAAGATTTGGTGGTACTTTTTTGTGACAGAAACAATAGAAAGCTAATACAGCCACCTGAAATATTTTGTTTAAAAAGTTACTTTTTCAGAAAGGACTCCTCTGCATTCCTCATCTAAACCCAAATTGTCTTATTAACTTGTTTAATTTTCTTTATTGCATATATTGTTATTTCCCTATCTCTGTTCTTTCTGTTTTCGTTGATTTCTTTATTGGTTTCCCCAGTCCCCATAAGAATATACAGTCCTTAAGGGCAAAAACTGATTAGTGTTGAATGCATGAATTGTCTCATCCTGTGAATTTTTTACAATTCTTGATGTCCATTTGATTTTATATCTCATACCATTATTACTCCTTCAGGTGCCTTTCTTGGAAGCCCAGTTTGGTCTTGTTTTCTGTGTATCTGACTTTGACATCTCTTTAGTTCATAAGCTCAGCACAGTATATCCCAGTCAAGGATAAGTGTATCCTTGGGGGATGCTTTAGCGGCCTGGAAACCTGAACAGAAGGGTGCAATTCCTGCATAATTTCCACCCAAATGGACAGGGAGAATCAATCTCTTTGTAATTATTTTCAATTGATCAAAAACAGTAAACTAGGTCATATCGAGGTCAATTTGTTCCCTAAGTGGGAAATATGTAGTTTAGAAAAGCTCTACTGGAACCAGTTGATAATAGCTTGCAAGAGCCAATTGTTAAGTATTTAGGAATATGGTGAGTCATTTGTTAAACTTACATGATAGAAGTATTTATACCACAAATTTGGGAGCTGCAACAACTAAGAGCCTTTTCTCCCACCAAATTGTAGGTTATCAGCCCAACACAAAATATATTTTCCATTCAATGACTATTTTCCAGTGATTTTGCATTGATCTGAAGGTGAATTTACTCTTTACCTTGTGAAGAAGGTGATAGGACTTCTATTTTGTTGAGAACATGTACACACCCTAAAATTTGACCTGTTACCTTCCCAAAGTTCAGAACATTCATGATTCATACTTGAAAACATCTAAACATTCTTATACAGGTAAAGTACGGAAGGAGGGGAAGCAAAGTTTAGCTTTTCTGTTAGTCATACAGAACTGCTGTTTGATGCTGTAAGAACCCTGCATTGAAATGAAGGATTGGAGCAGGGCAATAATCATGTAAGTTCAGGAGGCATACAACTTTAGCTATCAAGTCTTCTTGCTTAAAAAAATAGGATCAGCAGTGCTCTGTTAATCTCCCATAATAACTAACCTCTTGGCATTTTAATAAATCTGAGCTTATGGTTTACTCAGGTAGAAAATGTCTTTGTTCATTCAGTGTTCATATACAGTGGTAACAGCAGTGTTCAGGGATTGTCATAGTGCAAAACTACCATGGGAAGAGCTGAAGTTTCACACATCTGCTAAGAGAGACAGCTATGAGCTTCAGGGGAGTCTTAAAGCCCAGTGTTCCCGGGGTAAATAATGAATCAAGGCCAGCTGGCATGCCATTTTCAGCGTTTCTCCTTTTCTCAAAACTAGAGCCTCATGAATTCCAATTGCAAGTAAGGACAGCAATAGTCTCAGAATATCCATTCCTCATTTTCTGTATGAGGCATTGAAAAAGCTTTAGACCAGCACACGGGCTCCAGACCAGTTGCAACTGTAACATAGCATGTCAGTGCAAATGTTTGGGGATCTAACTACTATTGAGTCTACAATCTGAGAAAGTACCCAGCTAGACAGCAGCTTCAGAAGTTGGTTGTTGCTTTTGCCAACTTGCCTCTCACCAATGACTCTAACCACTGATTTTTATAGAGGGATGTAACTTATTTCACCCAAGAAGATATATGCTAGCAAAGATCAAAGCCTAAAGCACAGTGATTCTGGTAATGAGTAATTGGCTCTGAGTAGTAATTACTACTCCAAGTGTGGAGATTTGTCCTCCCCACTCAAACATACAATCCACATGTAAGGGACCTGTGATAGCTCATTTGCTTACCCTTGTGCTCATTGCACCTCACAATCCTTATAACATACTAGGTAACCCAAAAACTCAGCTGCATACATGAACAAATGAATTTCTCAAAAAGAGAAGGGAGACTGTCATTTCCTTTGGCACTGACTCAGATATAAAAGTGAAAGTTAATCTTATTGGGGTCATTAGGATGTGAAGATGCATCTGATTGTTAACCTAGAAGTTTCTTCCTTCTAATGTAGGGAGATAAACTGAAATGTGCTCACCTTCTTGCACTGCAGCCTGGGCAATCATGGACCTGTCTTCCACCCTGCAGTAATCTTTGCTCACAAAGGTAGGAGATTTCCAGAGGACCCATGATGAACTGAAAATAGGAAGAAACGACTATTGAATTAAAAGTATGGGAAAAATGGTATAACCTCCTCAGCCCCAGTAGGAGTTAGGGCCTTAGTACTACTCAGGGAAGACTCAATTTTAACAACTATAACCTGCAAATTAGTTTTTCACTGGCTTAGGCCACAGAATCCAGCACAGGTGAAGAAAATGGAGCTGCTTTTGGTTCTGCCTCTGTCATTCACTAAGCCATGCAAAATTAGTTACTCATATAATTTATTGGATTATCACTTGGCTCATCTTGAGATCCCAATATTTGTTAAAGAGATTAAAAAGGAAAAATATTTGAAAATAACTAATTTATAAATTTTAAGATTAATTTATTTGTACAACAATTACTTATGGAGTATAAAATTGCATATATTTGAGTTCTTTGTAGAAAATTTACAAGAAAAAAACAAACAACCCCATAAAAAAGTGGGCAAAGAATATGAACAGACACTTCTCAAAAGAAGACATTTATGCAGCCAACAGACACATGAAAAAATGCTCATCATCACTGGCCATCAGAGAAATGCAAATCAAAACCATAATGAGATACCATCTCACACAAGTTAGAATGGCAATCATTAAAAAGTCGGGAAACAACAGGTGCTGGAGAGGATGTGGAGAAATAGGAATGCTTTTACACTGTTGGTGGGACTGTAAACTAGTTCAACCATTGTGGAAGACAGTGTGGCGATTCCTCAAGGATCTAGAACTAGAAATACCATTTGACCCAGCCATCCCATTACTGGGTATGTACACAAAGGATTATAAATCATGCTGTTATAAAGACACATGCACACATATGTTTATTGCAGCACTATTCGCAATAGCAAAGACTTAGAACCAACCCAAATGTCCATCAATGATAGACTAGATTAAGGAAATGTGGCACATGTACACCATGGAATACTATGCAGCCATAAAAAGGATGCATTCATGTCCTTTGTAGGGACATGGATGAAGCTGGAAACCATCATTCTAAGCAAACTATCACAAGGACAAAAAACCAAACACTGCATGTTCTCACTCATAGGTGGGAATTGAACAATGAGAACACTTGGACACAGGAAGGGGAACATCACACACCAGGGCCTGTTGTGGGGTCGGGGGAGTGGGGAGGGATAGCATTAGGAGATACACCTAATGTAAATGACGAGTTAATGGGTGCAGCACACCAACATGGCACATGTATACATATGTAACAAACCTGCACGTTGTGCACATGTACCCTAGAACTTAAAGTATAATAATTTAAAAAATTGCATATATTTGCAAATGATATTGCCACACATAATTGTATTGTACTCATGCATATTTTGTGATGTTGTAGCAATGCTATTATTACTATTGTTACTGCGAAGTATAATGGAACATCATAACATTCTCACCTCTAGGTAGACAGAGTTACTTTCCCATCTGAGGCTAATTATATTATCTACAACTTATAGCTGGCCTTAGCCTGGGTAGTAGGAGATGGAAGGAGTTAAAAAGTAAAAAGTAATGAGGGGAAATGTTTTTTTACTTTTCTTATCAGATTTATTGTCCTTTTGTATCTCAGTGCTATTGAAATCACTAGAAATGATAGAAATACCACAATTGAAGAGAGACATTTATCTATCAACGTAAATGTCATTCAACAATTCAGGCTTTCCATTTTGGGCCTAAAAGGCAGTAAAATTATCCACACACTGGGGAGTTGAGAGAATCTATTTTAATTGTGTCTCTAACAGTTCTAAAAGAAAATTAAGTAGAAAATGGTGATCAGAGCATACAAAATCCTATGCCAGATTGTGCCACAAATCCCCTTGGCTTTTCTCTAACGTAAAGCAATCACTTTCTACTCTGCATGTGCTTGATCACTTAATTACTTGTGCTTCAATTGAATGTAAAAAATGTAATGCATAATATCATCAAGAACACGTAAGAATTTTCTTTTCTTTGTTGTTGTTGTTGTTGTTTGTTTTTTTTTTTTATTATACTTTAAGTTTTAGGGTACATGTGCACATTGTGCAGGTTAGTTACATATGTATACATGTGCCATGCTGGTGTGCTGCACCCACTAACTCGTCATTTACATTAGGTATATCTCCCAATGCTATCCCTCCCCCCTCCCCCCACCCCACAACAGTCCCCAGAGTGTGATATTCCCCTTCCTGTGTCCATGTGATCTCATTGTTCAATTCCCACCTATGAGTGAGAATATGCAGTGTTTGGTTTTTTGTTCTTGCGATAGTTTACTGAGAATGATGATTTCCAATTTCATCCATGTCCCTACAAAGGACATGAACTCATCATTTTTTATGGCTGCATAGTATTCCATGGTGTATATGTGCCACATTTTCTTAATCCAGTCTATCATTGTTGGACATTTGGGTTGGTTCCAAGTCTTTGCTATTGTGAATAATGCCGCAATAAACATACGTGTGCATGTGTCTTTATAGCAGCATGATTTACAGTCATTTGGGTATATACCCAGTAATGGGATGGCTGGGTCAAATGGTATTTCTAGTTCTAGATCCCTGAGGAATCGCCACACTGACTTCCACAATGGTTGAACTAGTTTACAGTCCCTCCAACAGTGTAAAAGTGTTCCTATTTCTCCACATCCTCTCCAGCACCTGTTGTTTCCTGACTTTTTAATGATTGCCATTCTAACTGGTGTGAGATGGTATCTCATAGTGGTTTTGATTTGCATTTCTCTGATGGCCAGTGATGATGAGCATTTTCACAAGTCCCCCACTGCCTTCTTATCTGAAAACTGGACCCTGCTCTCTTATTTTTTTGTTTATTTATTTTTAGTGTCTTTGTTTTGTTTTGCTTATACCTAAAATAAAAATTTTTTAAAAACTTGCATAAATTTAGGAGTACAAGCGGAATTTTGTTACATGGATACATTGCATAGCAGCAAAGTCTGGGCTTTTAGTGTAACCATCACTCAAATAATGTACATTGAACCTAGAGTGTAATTTCTCATCTCTTACTCCTTCCCAATCTCCCACACTTCTGAGTCTACAAGGTCTGTTATTCCCCACTCTGCGTCCATGTGCACACATTATTTAGCTCCCGTTTATAAGCGAGAACATGTGGTATTTGACTTACTATTTCTGAGTAATTTCACTTAATGGCCTCCAGTTCCATCTATGTTGCTGCAAAAGACATGACTTTATTCTTTTTTACAGCTGGGTGGTATTCCATGGAATATACATATATTATATGTATGTGTATATATGTATATACATATATTATATGTATGTGTATATATGTATATACATATATTATATGTATGTGTATATATGTATATACATATATTATATGTATGTGTATATATGTATATACATATATTATATGTATGTGTATATATATACATATATTATATGTATGTGTATATATGTATATGCATATATTATATGTATGTGTATATATGTATATGCATATGTTATATGTATGTGTATATATGTATATGCATGTTATATGTATGTGTATATATGTATATGCATATGTTATATGTATGTGTATATATGTATATGCATATGTTATATGTATGTGTATATATGTATATGCATATATTATATGTATGTGTATATATGTATATGCATATATGTATGTGTATGTGTATATATGTATATACATATGTGTATGTGTATATATGTATATACATATGTGTATGTGTATATATGTATATACATATGTGTATGTGTATATATGTATATACATATGTGTATGTGTATATATGTATATACATATGTGTATGTGTGTATATGTATATACATATGTGTATGTGTGTATATGTATATACATATGTGTATGTGTGTAGATGTATATACATATGTGTATGTGTGTAGATGTATATACATATATTATATGTATGTGTGTAGATGTATATACATATATTATATGTATGTGTGTAGATGTATATACATATATTATATGTATGTGTGTAGATGTATATACATATATTATATGTATGTGTGTAGATGTATATACATATATTATATGTATGTGTGTAGATGTATATACATATATTATATGTATGTGTGTAGATGTATATACATATATTTTATGTATGTGTGTAGATGTATATACATATATTTTATGTATGTGTGTAGATGTATATACATATATTATATGTATGTGTGTAGATGTATATACATATATTATATGTATGTGTGTAGATGTATATACATATATTATATGTATGTGTGTAGATGTATATACATATATTATATGTATGTGTGTAGATGTATATACACATATTAGATGTATGTGTGTAGATGTATATACATATATTATATGTATGTGTGTAGATGTATATACGTATATTATATGCATGTATATACGTATATTATATGCATGTATATACGTATATTATATGCATGTATATACGTATATTATATGCATGTATATACGTATATTATATGCATGTATAATATACGTATATACGTATATATGTATGTATATACGTATATACGTATATTATATGTATGTATATATGCATATACCTATATTATGTATATACGTATATACCTATATTATGTATATACGTATATTATGTGTATATATGAAAGATTTTTTTTATGCAGTCATCCACTGATAAACACTGAGGTTGATTTCCATATCTTTGCTATTGTGAATAGTACTACAATAAACAAATGAGTTCAGTTATATTTTTGATATAATGATCTCTTTTCCTTTCAGGTAGATACCCAGTAGTGGGATCTCTTGAACTACCAGTAGTGGTAGTTCTTTGAGAAATCTTCATGCTGTTTTCCATAGTGTTGTACTAATTTATATTCTCATCAAGAATATATATGTTCCGTTTTCTCTACGTCTTTGCCAACATCTGTTATTTTTTGACGTTTTATTAATAGCCATTCTGACTGGTGTAAGATATCACATTGTGGATTTAATTTGCATTTCTCTCATGATTAGTGATGTTGAGCATTTTGTCATATGCTTCTTGGCCATTTGTATGTTTTCATTTGAAAAATGTCTGTTCTTGTCCTTTGCCCAGTTTTTAATGGGGTTTTCACTGTTATTGTTGTTGAGTTGTTTCAGCTTCTTATAGATTCTGGATATTAGTTCCTTGTCAGATGCATAGTTTCCAAATATTTTCTTCCATTCTGCAGGTTGTCTGTTTGCTCTGTTGATAATTTCTTTTGCTGTGCAGAAATTTTCTAGTTTAATTAAGTCCCATTTGTCTACTTTGTTTTTATTGCATTTGCTTTTGAGGTCTTAGTCATGAATTCTTTGCTTTTTTGGGACATGAACCATGGCTTATTTTCAAGCCTAGAAGTATAACAAATATGTTTTTAAAAAAACATTTGGATGACTTCTATGGACTTAGGTGTCTGCCTTTCAGTCATGCCTTATTTCTTTAGAATAAAACAACAGACAAATAATTCTTAAACTGGTCTGCCATAATTTTACACCAAAGAGTTGCTCATTGGTTGTCTAAGGAAAATAGAATATGTATCTCAATAGTTGATCATTAGCATATGCTGGCAAAGGTGAACTAATAAATTTCCGTGTTTCAAGGGCTATCTTAGAAGAAAGCACATCTGTATTCTTCAGGTATGTTTTATATACTTTGAAATACACAGACATGTTTACCTTGGGGCTGCTTTTATTTATCGTGTCAATAACCAGCTTTTCAGAAAGCCCTAACCTCTTGATAATTGTTCTTAGGACCAGAAATAATTCCATGTAGGTCAGAAGTTAATCTCTCTCTCTCTCTCTCTCTGTGTCTCTCTCTCTCCCCCACTCCAAAAACAAAAAACAAACAAACAAAAAAGCACCACACCCTGTTTTGGGTACCTGCAGTATAACCTCAAAGACATTTTAACCCAAGAGTACTCTTCAAAATGGGCTTAACATACACAAATTAGTAAATTAAAGAGATGAGCTTAGAATAACATTCTTACTTCCTGTGTGAGTTCCACCTGTCTCAAAAGAAATATCATTAGAAGATATGGACTCAGGCTGAAGGACAAGGTCTTTTAAGAGAGTCGGAAATCTGTATGAAATAGTCTTTAGTCGATATAATATTTTCTCTTCCCTATTCTCCACCTCATTTTTTCTTCTCACCACACCATTGATTTTAGTTCTTGTGAAAAGTAAACAAAAAATATAAGGAATGACAGGAATTCAATCCATAATTGAGGCTCTGGATTTATTAGAGGGTGGAGATCAGCCACCTGTCACATCCTGGTTTCAGAGCAGCCTAGAAATTGATTCCTCTGTAGCATGTTAGAGAGACACAATATTTTGAGCCAAAGTTTATTTAAAATTCTTTACTTTGCATTTCTTGCTTGTTTTCTGGTTTATTTTATACTTTTTTACTATATACACCTTCTGCTTTCTCTCCACTGATCCTTTATCTCTCTATCACTCCTTATTCTTCTCTTACTCCTATCCACATTTTCTATATACACAGTGACCTGTTCAATTATTAACAGGACCTACCAAGTTAAAAAGCAGCAGGAAGAATAATCAAAGTTCAAGCAATCCATACATGGCACATCTCAGATTTTACTCTAGGAATCCTTAAATGCTGCACAATTTTTTTAAAAAGATTATCTGTAAAAATTAGGATTCTTAATAAAGTCACTTGAAGATCTAAGGAATTCATGAACACCATGTGTATGTTCTATATGCACATTTTATTTACCTTTAAAATTTGATATATACATCAAAAATAAAAATGATTACCCAAAGCTTAACAAATGAATACAACCAACATTGAAAGGAGAAACATTAATAGGTGAGTATACAGAAATATTTAACATGAGCCTTGGCAACATATTAAGACCCCATCTTTGCCAAAAAAAAAAAAAAAAATTAACCGCGTATGATGGCATCTGCCTGTAGTCTCAGCTACTTTGGACACTGAGCCAGGAGGATTACTTGAGCCCAAAAGCTCAAGGGTGCAGTGAGCTGTCATCACGCCACTGCACTCTAGCCTGGGTGACAGATCAAGACCCCATCTCTCTATATAAATATATATTACATATATTCATATAATATACTTACATATAATATGGCCTTATATATTATACAAAACATGGCATACATATAAATTTTATACATATATATATGGAATATATATAAAGCAGGCCATGTTATATATCATGGAACTGATGGAACAATTTCATCAGTCTCACTTTATAAGAATCTAAGCACACAAACCATCCTAATCGATACTGTGAACACAGCCATCTTTAAATCAATATCATTTTAAAATGTTTATTTCTTTATTTTACTAAAGTGTAGGAATAATTCATAACTCTGGAGTTTTGGGGTATTCCTCCTCATTTTCTTGTCACTTGAAATAGAGGAGGCAATCTTGTTTCCTTCTATTATGTTTTAATTTACAACGGTTTTTTCGTTAGGCTTATTGATGTGGCCTAATCTCTGACCCCAAGGGATCATGGTGACATGACTACAGCTTTTTCTTTCTGAATCTGGGAATTTTTCAACACTAAAGGGAACTGTGTTGTTCTGCAACAATGAGAAAAATCAATATAGGATAAAGTGTCATATTACAATGTTAATTTAATATATAACATTTAGTAGCCTCGAAAACTTGTTGCTGAGATTAACGTGGCAAGATTAGTTATTAAGTCATGAGAGTTGTTGAACATATGTATACAAGCAAAGCCTTAGGGGAAGGTCAGACTATTTCGGAAGTTTCAATAAATGATCTCTTCCTTGTCTAGTCATGACTGCAGTTTAAAAAAAAAAAAACAATTTATCACAATCATCAAGTAACATGTGCAGTAAGAAAATGTGACTCTGATGTCCTCTCTTTGTAAAGGACTATTGCGTATGGGCTCCACTGGCATACGTTCTTCAGTATTCAGTGCTGAGGGCTTCTTTACTTCTCTGTCTTAAAATGGAGCCACCATCATTTCCAGCTCCTAGCTAAATCCATTATTTCCTTTTTTCTACTGTATCGACTCCCAGCAAGTAAGCAGAGACTCTTAGAAAAGTGTGTAATCTACTCAAAGAATAACACATTTGGAATAGAAGGTCATCTTACTGGATCATACATGGGTCACTAAAGCCACTAAAAGTAGGGTGCAGACCTGACTGAGTCTGTAAAGAATATCTAATTCTTCGCAGCAATCTAATGTCCACTTGTTCAGATCAGTAGCTTCCCCGTGACCTCTTTGCCTGAACTGTCAGATGCTGCTTTAAATGACTAACTCCCTCTGAAGGCTTTGAGAATGCTGTCTTTCTTCTATGCTTAAAAAAGAAGAAAAACAATAACAAAAAATCTTTGTCATATGGCTTTGAAATATCACCCACCTCACCTATACTCTGATTTATTTCTAGGGTCTGTGTCTTCTCCGCTTTGTCGACCTCAAATATAGCCCTATGGTTAAGTCTGTGGTCTTTGATGAATAATGATTATGGAAAATTGCTAGAATTCACCCTTATGCTGAACCTTAGACTAGCAAAGTCGAATTTTCACTTCTAACTATTATAGTTCCCCCTGGTACAATTTTGCTCTCGAGATTCTCTAAACTTTAGAAGGTCATCCTAAGGCCAAGCCACTACATGATTACACAAAGTGGAACAATAATCAACTATTTGCTCTAACCTCTTCACTGAATTACTCCTTTTATCTTCAAATCCTATCAGATTGAGAGCTTACAAATCCTCCCTGGACTTGTAGACTAAACTTTTTTGATCAACTCCTCCGTTCCCAAGATTTTTTTCCATTTTCTTTTCTGAGAAAACCCTTCACTTAGTAAAACTTCCAGCTTTGTTACACCTCCTTTTTTAAAAACAGAAATAAATATTATAGCATACTTTCCCAAGGCTCCCTTCTTCCTTTGTATAGATCCTACTTCTATGTTCACCCACCTGTCTTTGTCCTTTAGCAATTGATAAGTCATGTTATTCTCATCTTTACTTAAAATCACTAGTCAGCACTTGCCTAGTTTATTTCAGTTTATTTTCTTAGAGTCCCTTTCTATCTTTGTTACACAATTATAATTGTTCTTCTGCTTCTAATGTAGAATCCAGTGTCCCAAAATTTTATTTTATATGAATATTGACCCAAAATCTCCAGATCACCTTTTCTGAAGGTGAGAATTTCCCCTTCATCAAGAAATGAAAACATTATTTTTTTCTCTTTTTTTGTCTTTTTCTTATTCCATTGTCAGTAACTCCTCTGTCACTTGTAATAAGAACTTGCAGCAATATCATGACATTTTTTTTAACACCATCTTTTCTTGTTCCCTTCTCCATGCTTCCTCCCTTCATAAACATACTCAGGCTCAAGCACACATGCACAAGTCTATAGACAAGATGTCATACATTTTGTTTATTTTTATTTTAGTGCCGATTCATGCAAATGAGGAAAAGATCTGGAAGAAGTAAACATGGAAAAGTAGAGCGAGCAATCCTAAGGGCTGGAACTGGGAATTGAGTCTAAAAAGGAACAAATAGAGAGGGAAACTTGACAGAGATGCAACAGAGAAAGACTGGTTACTTGTTTGTAAACAATTTTAAATAATAGAAGCTAAAGTTGTATTTTAAAAAAAAACTACAATATAATTTTTAATGTACTAACATCAATAGACCATCATCACTTGGTCTTCTCCTGTGAGAAAGCTGATGCACAAGTTTCCCATTTCCCAACATAGGCAATTTTTAAAGATTGATCATATATCTGCTTTCACTCACACACACACACACACACACAGACACACACACAAATCTTTTCTTTTTCTTTTCTTTTCTTTTTCTTTTCTTTTCTTTTTCTTTTTTTTTTTTTTTTGAGACGGAGTTTCGCTTTTCTTGCCCAGCTGGAGTGCAATGGCGTGCGATTCTCCGCCTCCCGGGTTCAAGAGATTCTCCTGCCTCAGCCTCCAGAGTAGCTGGGATTACAGGAATGCTTCATCACGCCCGGCTAATTTTGTATTTTTAGTAGAGGTGAGGTTTCTCCATGTTGGTCAGGCTGGTCTCAAACTCCTGACCTCAGGTGATCCACCTGCCTCGGCCTCCCAAAGTGCTGGCATTATAGGCGTGAGCCACTGCGCCTGGCCCACAGAAAATAGGAACTAGAAAATAGCAATGCATTTCACTATCACACTTTTATGTATTTTAATCGTTCAAGCGTCTTTACTTTGTATTACCTTCTACTTATTAAAATCATTTACTGGAAAACCTCTTTCTTTTTCACACTAGGAGTCTATTTTCCTTGAAGCTAAACAAATGTGCTTAATTCACTTGAATACCATCAAATGGGGATCTCCTAAATACTGGAGCTAGGGAAAACTTAAAGAAAAAAATGGATTACTATTTTGTGTATTGTTACTATCGTAATTGCCATCCAAATTGTAAAAAAAATTCAGCATCTAAAGAAATTTCTTCATTTACTTTACCTTATATTAATCTTTTATTCATTTTTAAGCCTTTCTATCAACCTGCATCTTCATATCTATTATTTCTTTCCAGCCTGTGATTCTTCATTTTTCCTCTGACCAGTTTGTCTTCCTTTTCTCAATCCTATCATTCTGTATTCTTAAATTTTCGCAAGTCCCAGTGCCTGAGATAGAATCTGTTATGTTGTTAAAGCAAAAAAAAAAAAAATCAGTATCATTGTTAAAGAAAATCCCACTAACACAATGTTACCGGTTTGACATTTTTAATCTGTTGGATACTCCCTGAAATTAGCATTCAGGGTACTGTGTAATTTAGTAATTTCTTTTTCTTTCTTCTGTCTTCTATTTTTTTGATGTGATCATATTTAAAGTTACAAACATGTAGCACTAAAAGACCTGATAAATGTAAATACTGTTGAATTAAAAGATGATATATGCTATTTATAGTGAGAATATGGAATATGCCAAAAAAAGTAATGGCAAGAAATGAAAGTTTCAAAGGCAAAGCAATATCAAATTAGAAAAGGATTTTTTTGGCATAAGGTAATTCATTCGTACATGACAAATTATGCTATTTATTGAGATTGGCTTCCATTTCATCTTTGACTTAATTCTGCATCCAAGAAATTTAGCATCTCCAGCCCCAGTCCTCTAACATAATTGCTAGTGTAAATCACCAAGAAATAAAACACAGTTTCTTGAAGAAAATCTACCACAAATATAAAGCTATGTGTTGTAATTGACAAGAAGAGATAAAGAAAAGCCGTATTTTCCTATTGAATTGCATTGCTGTACTGAAGATATTTTGACTGTGCCTAGTTAAATCAGGAGTAGCAGAAGACTAAAAACCTAAGATGTTATCTCATATTATTACTCTTGATTCTCTGATGGGAAAAGAGAACTTCAAAGGTAATGTTTCCTAGGGATGCAAACACTTCTCTAAAGTCTGTTAGTTAATGTGAAAGCAAATATATATATACACCGTCACGCGCCACATAATGTTTCCATCAGTAATGAACTGCATATATGATGATGCTCCCATAACATAATGGAGCTAACAGATTTCTGTTGTCTAGCGATATCTTGATGATCCTGACCCTGTGCAGGCCTATGCTTATGTATGTGTGTCTTAGTTACAGCAAACCAATTTAGAAAGTGAAAAGTAATAAAAATTTAAAAAATAAAAATACAAAAAGGTTTATAGAATAAGAAAATATTTTTGTACAGCTGTTCAATGTGTCTGTGTTTTAAGCTTCATTTCAAATGAATCCATAAGTTAAAAAATTAAGTTTATAAATTAGAAAAGTTACAGTAAGCTATTTATTTATTGTGGAAGAGAAAATATTTTAAAAATAAATTTAGTGTAGCCTAAGTTTACAGTGTTTATAAATAAGTTTACAGTAATATACAGTAATATCCTAGGCCTTCCCATTCACACTCACCGACTCACCTAGAGGAACTTTAGATCTGCAGTCTCTGTTCCTGGTAAGTACCCTATACAGGTGTATCATTTTTTATTTTTTCAATCATATTACTACAACTTTTCTATGTGTAGATACACAAATACTTACAATTATGTTACAATTGCCTACAGTATTTAATGCGGTAACATACCATTACAATAGACAGTTGGAAAAGCCTAGCTGCAATAGACAATATTACTGTATAGCCTGGGTGTCTAGTAGACTATACCACATAGGTTTGTGTAAGTACACTCTATGGTGTTCACACAGTGGTGAAATCACCTAACGATATATTTCTCAGAACATATCCATGTTGTTAACCAACACATTGGTATACACACAAACACACACAACATACACACACACAAGCACATATACAGTCATGTTGGAAGATTTGTATAGTGAACTCTTACATTCACACAATCTAGGTTCTATATTAACATTTTACTAAACTCATGTTATTACATACGTATTCATATATCATCTCCCTTGTCCATACGATGTAAATTGCAGGCATTAATTTCCCCTAAATATTTCAGTATGCACATCAATAATAAAAGTTCAGTACTTGAAGAGTTTTTTTAAAAAATAAAATTGCTGGAGGAGCCAAGATGGCCGAATAGGAACAGCTCCGGTCTACAGCTCCCAGAGTGAGCGACGCAGAAAACGGGTGATTTCTGCATTTCCAGCTGAGGTACCGGGTTCATCTCAATAGGGAGTGCCAGACAGTGGGCACAGGTCAGTGGGTGGGCGCACCGTGCGCGAGCCGAAGCAGGGCGAGGCATTGCCTCACTTCGGAAGCGCAAGGGGTCAGGGAGTTCCCTTTCTGAGTCAAAGAAAGGGGTAACGGACAGCACCTGGAAAATCGGGTCACTCCCACACGAATACTGCGCTTTTCCAACGGGCATAAAAAACGGCGCACCACGAGATTATATCCCGCACCTGGCTCGGAGGGTCCTACACCCACGGAGTCTCGCTGATTGCTAGCACAGCAGTCTGAGATCGAACTGCAAGGCTGCAGCGAGGCTGGGGGAGGGGCGCCCGCCATTGCCCAGGCTTGATTAGGTAAACAAAGCAGCCCAGAATCTGGAACTGGGTGGAGCCCACCACAGCTCAAGGAGGCCTGCCTGCCTCTGTAGGCTCCACCTCTGGGGGCAGGGCACAGACAAACAAAAAGACAGCAGTAACCTCTGCAGACTTAAATGTCCCTGTCTGACAGCTTTGAAGACAGCAGTGGTTCTCCCAGCACGCAGCTGGAGATCTGAGAACGGGCAGATTGCCTCCTCAAGTGGGTCCCTGACCCCTGACCCCCGAGCAGCCTAACTGGGAGGCACCCCCCAGCAGGGGCACACTGACACCTCACAAGCGGCAGGGTATTCCAACAGACCTGCAGCTGAGGGTCCTGTCTGTTAGAAGGAAAACTAACAAACAGAAAGGACATCCACACCAAAAACCCACCTGTACATCACCATCATCAAAGACCAAAAGTAGATAAAACCAGAAAGATGGGGAAAAAACAGAACAGAAAAACTGGAAACTCTAAAAAGCAGAGCGCCTCTCCTCCCCCAAAGGAACGCAGTTCCTCACCAGCAACGGAACAAAGCTGGATGGAGAATGACTTTGACGAGCTGAGAGAAGAAGGGTTCAGACAATCAAATTACTCTGAGCTACGGGAGGACATTCAAACCAAAGGCAAAGAAGTTGAAAACTTTGAAAAAAATTTAGAAGAATGTATAACTAGAATAACTAACACAGAGAAGTGCTTAAAGGAGCTGATGGAGCTGAAAACCAAGGCTCGAGAACTACGTGAAGAATGCAGAAGCCTCAGGAGCTGATGTGATCAACTGGAAGAAAGGGTATCAGCGATGGAAGATGAAATGAATGAAATGAAGCGAGAAGGGAAGTTTAGAGAAAAAAGAATAAAAAGAAATGAGCAAAGCCTCCAAGAAACATGGTACTATGTGAAAAGACCAAATCTACGTCTGATTGGTGTACCTGAAAGTGACGGGGAGAATGGAACCAAGTTGGAAAACACTCTGCAGGATATTATCCAGGAGAACTTCCCCAATCTAGCAAGACAGGCCAACGTTCAGATTCAGGAAATACAGAGAACGCCACTAAGATACTCCTCGAGAAGAGCAACTCCAAGACACATAATTGTCAGATTCACCAAAGTTGAAATGAAGAAAAAAATGTTAAGGGCAGCCAGACAGAAAGGTCGGGTTACCCTCAAAGGGAAGCCCATCAGACTAACAGCGGATCTCTCGGCAGAAACCCTACAAGCCAGAAGAGAGTGGGGGCCAATATTCAACATTCTTAAAGAAAAGAATTTTCAACCCAGAATTTCATATCCAGCCAAACTAAGCTTCATAAGTGAAGGAGAAATAAAATACTTTACAGACAAGCAAATGCTGAGAGATTTTGTCACCATCAGGCCTGCCTTACAAGAGCTCCTGAAGGAAGCACTAAACATGGAAAGGAACAACAGGTACCAGCCACTGCAAAATCATGCCAAAATGTAAAGACCATCGAAACTAGGAAGAAACTGCATCAACTAACGAGCAAAATAACCAGCTAACATCATAATGACAGGATCAAATTCACACATAACAATATTGACTTTAAATGTAAATGGACTAAATGCTCCAATTAAAAGACACAGACTGGCAAATTGGATAAAGAGTCAAGACCCATCAGTGTGCTGTATTCAGGAAACCCATCTCACGTGCAGAGACACACATAGGCTCAAAATAAAAGGATGGAGGAAGATCTACCAAGCCAATGGAAAACAAAAAAAGGCAGGGGTTGCAATCCTAGTCTCTGATAAAACAGACTTTAAACCAACAAAGATCAAAAGAGACAAAGAAGGCCATTACATAATGGTAAAGGGATCAATTCAACAAGAAGAGCTAACTATCCTAAATATATATGCACCCATAACAGGAGCACCAAGATTCATAAAGCAAGTCCTGAGTGACCTACAAAGAGACTTAGACTCCCACACATTAATAATGGGAGACTTTAACACCCCACTGTCAACATTAGACAGATCAACGAGACAGAAAGTCAACAAGGATACCCAGGAATTGAACTCAGCTCTGCAACAAGCGGACCTAATAGACATCTACAGAACTCTCCACCCCAAATCAACAGAATATACATTTTTTTCAGCACCACACCACACCTATTCCAAAATTGACCACATACTGGGAAGTAAAGCTCTCCTCAGCAAATGTAAAAGAACACAAATTATAACAAACTATCTCTCAGACCACAGTGCAATCAAACTAGAACTCAGGATTAAGAATCTCACTCAAAACCGCTCAACTACATGGAAACTGAACAACCTGCTCCTGAATGACTACTGGGTACATAATGAAATGAAGGCAGAAATAAAGATATTCTTTGAAACCAACGAGAACAAAGACACAACATACCAGAATCTCTGGGACACATTCAAAGAAGTGTGTAGAGGGAAATTTATAGCACTAAATGCCCACAAGAGAAAGCAGGAAAGATCCAAAATTGACACCCTAACATCACAATTAAAAGAACTAGAAAAGCAAGAGCAAACACATTCAAAAGCTAGCAGAAGGCAAGAAATAACTAAAATCAGAGCAGAACTGAAGGAAATAGAGACACAAAAAACCCTTCAAAAAATTAATGAATCCAGAAGCTGGTTTTTTGAAAGGATCAACAAAATTGATAGACCGCTAGCAAGACTAATAAAGAAAAAAAAGAGATGACTCAAATAGACGCAATAAAAATGATAAAGGGGATATCATCACCGATCCCACAGAAATATAAACTACCATCAGAGAATACTACAAACACCTCTACGCAAATAAACTAGAAAATCGAGAAGAAATGGATAAATTCCTGGACACATACACTCTCCCAAGACTAAACCAGGAAGAAGTTGAATCTCTGAATAGACCAATAACAGGAGCTGAAATTGTGGCAATAATCAATAGCTTACCAACCAAAAAGAGTCCAGGACCGCATGGATTCACAGCCAAATTCTACCAGAGGTACAAGGAGGAACTAGTACCATTCCTTCTGAAACTATTCCAATCAACAGAAAAAGAGGGAATCCTCCCTAACTCATTTTATGAGGCCAGCATCATTCTGATACCAAAGCCTGGCCCAGACACAACAAAAAAAGAGAATTTTAGACCAATATCCTTGATGAACATTGATGCAAAAATCCTCAATAAAACACTGGCAAAACGAATCCAGCAGCACATCAAAAAGCTTATCCACCATGAACAAGTGGGCTTCATCCCTGGGATGCAAGGCTGGTTCAATATACGCAAATCAGTAAATGTAATCCAGCATATAAACAGAGCCAAAGACAAAAACCACATGATTATCTCAATAGATGCAGAAAAAGCCTTTGACAAAATTCAATAACCCTTCATGCTAAAAACTCTCAATAAATTAGGTATTGATGGGACGTATTTCAAAATAATAACAGCTATCTATGACAAACCCACAGCCAATATCATACTGAATGGGCAAAAACTGGAAGCATTCCCTTTGAAAACTGGCACAAGACAGGGATGCCCTCTCTCACCACTCCTATTCAACAAAGTGTTGGAAGTTCTGGCCAGGGCAATGAGGCAGGAGAAGGAAATAAAGGGTATTCAATTAGGAAAAGAGGAAGTCAAATTATCCCTGTTTGCAGATGACATGATTGTTTATCTAGAAAACCCCAGTGTCTCAGCCCAAAATTTCCTTAAGCTGATAAGCAACTTCAGCAAAGTCTCAGGATACAAAATCAATGTACAAAAATCACAAGCATTCTTATACACCAACAACAGACAAACAGAGAGCCAAATCATGAGTGAACTCCCATTCACAATTGCTTCAAAGAGAATAAAATACCTAGGAATCCAACTTACAAGGGATGTGAAGGACCTCTTCAAGGAGAACTACAAACCACTGCTCAAGGAAATAAAAGAGGATACAAACAAATGGAAGAACATTCCATGCTCATGGGTAGGAAGAATCAATATCGTGAAAATGGCCATACTGCCCAAGGTAATTTACAGATTCAATGCCATCCCCATCAAGCTACCAATGACTTTCTTCACAGAACTGGAAAAAACTACTTTAAACTTCATATGGAACCAAAAAAGAGCCCGCACCGCCAAGTCAATCCTAAGCCAAAAGAACAAAGCTGGAGGCATCACACTACCTGACTTCAAACTATACTACAAGGCTACAGTAACCAAAACAGCATGGTACTGGTACCAAAACAGAGATATAGATCAATGGAACAGAACAGAGCCCTCAGAAATAACGCCGCATATCTACAACTATCTGATCTTTGACAAACCTGAGTAAAACAAGCAATGGGGAAAGGATTCCCTATTTAATAAATGGTGCTGGGAAAACTGGCTAGCCATATGTAGAAAGCTGAAACTGGATCCCTTCCTTACACCTTATACAAAAATCAATTCAAGATGGATTAAAGACTTAAACGTTAGACCTAAAACCATAAAAACCCTAGAAGAAAACCTAGGCATTACCATTCAGGACATAGGCATGGGCAAGGACTTCATGTCTAAAACACCAAAAGCAATGGCAATAAAAGCCAAAATTGACAAATGGGGTCTAATTAAACTAAAGAGCTTCTGCACAGCAAAATAAACTACCATCAGAGTGAACAGGCAACCTACAAAATGGGAGAAAATTTTCGCAACCTACTCATCTGACAAAGGGCTAATATCCAGAATCTACAAAGAACTCAAACAAATTTACAAGAAAAAAACAAACAACCCCATCAAAAAGTGGACGAAGGACATGAACAGACACTTCTCAAAAGAAGACATTTATGCAGCCAAAAAACACATGAAAAAATGCTCATCATCACTGGCCATCAGAGAAATGCAAATCAAAACCACAATGAGATACCATCTCACACCAGTTAGAATGGCAATCATTAAAAAGTCAGGAAACAACAGGTGCTGGAGAGGATGTGGAGAAATAGGAACACTTTTACACTGTTGGTGGGACTGTAAACTAGTTCAACCATTGTGGAAGTCAGTGTGGTGATTCCTCAGGGATCTAGAACTGGAAATACCATTTGACCCAGCCATCCCATTACTGGGTATATACCCAAAGGACTGTAAATCATGCTGCTATAAAGACACATGCACACTTATGTTTATTACGGCATTATTCACAATAGCAAAGACTTGGAACCAACCCAAATGTCCAACAATGATAGACTGGATTAAGAAAATGTGGCACATATACACCATGGAATACTATGCAGCCATAAAAAATGATGAGTTCATGTCCTTTGTAGGGACATGGATGAAGCTGGAAACCATCATTCTCAGTAAACTACCGCAAGAACAAAAAACCAAACACCGCATATTCTCACTCATAGGTGGGAATTGAACAATGAGATCACATGGACACAGGAAGGGGAATATCACACTCTGGGGACTGTTGTGGGGTGGGGGGATGCGGGAGGGATAGCATTAGGAGATATATCTAATGCTGGATGAGGAGTTAGTGGGTGCAGCGCACCAGCATGGCACATGTATACCTATGTAACTAACCTGCACAATGTGCACATGTACCCTAAAACTTAAAGTATAATAAAAAATAAATAAATAAATAAAATTATAAAAAAATAAAATTAATATATGAGTTATACAAAGGTAAGTGTGTGTTTACTGAACTTTGATAGATGCATATGCCTATATAATCCCAATTTTTTCACATTATTAAACATTACTATAACCCCAGGAAATTCCTCGGATCCCATCAGAGACATTCTCTGCTGCCACTCATCTTCAAGGCAACAATTCATCTATTCCATTTTACTAATGCCAGAATTTTACATACATGGAGTAAACAGTATATAATCTTTTGAGTAATTTTTTAATATTAATATTGTATCCATAGGTCCTTTATTTTTAGTTCTAAGTATTATTTAGTTATATAAGTATTACACAATGTGTTTATTCTCACATTGATGCATATCTGGCTTTGTTCTAGCTTTGAGGAATTATAAGTACAGTTGATATGAACATTCATGTACAGGTTTTATGTGGAAAGGTTTTTAGTAACAAATTCAATTTCTTTGTAGATATTGGGTTATTCTTATTTTTTGTTTTATCTTTATCAGTTCTAGAAGATTGTATTTTTACAGAAAATTATCCACTTCCTCTAAGTCATTAAAGTTGTTGGCATAAAGTTGTTCATAATATCCCCTTTTTATCATTTTAAATCCACAGATTTTACTGATAGCCTATTTTTCCTCCTGATATTGATAATTTGATATCCTTCTTTTGCTATTGATCCATCTAGTTTTAGTTCATCTTTTTGTGGTAATTAAAAAAAACTTACGGTTTCATTAATTTTCTCAACATTCTGTTTTCTATTCTGTTGATTTTTGCTGTCTTCATTGAATCTTTTTTTCTATTTACATTGAGAGTTTTTGTTGCTCCTCGTCTTTGTCTCCTTCTTTCTTCTCTTTTCCTTGTCATTCTTCTTTTGACTTTTTAAGGTAAAAACAGAGATCATTAATTTGAGAACTTTCTTCTTTTCTAATATAAGCACGTAAACCTGTAAATTTCTCTCTAAGGACGGCTTTAACTGCATCCAGCAGATTTCAATATATTGTATTTTCATTATGATTCAGTTGATAATATTTTCCACTTCCCTTGTGATTTTGTTTTTGAGCCATCAACTATTTAAAAGTGTTATTTGATTTTATGTTACTTGGGGGTTTTCCTGGATATCATAGTTTATTCTTAATTTAATTACATTGAAGTCGGAGAATATATTTTTGTATGACCGTAATTCTGTTCCATTTACTGACTTGCTTTATGGCCCAGAATAAGCTCTATCATGGTGCATTTTTCTAGCAATTTATATAAGTGAAAAAAATACATAATGTGCATTCCTGGGAGTGACTTCTTTGTTCAGCATAATATTTTTGGGAGTCATATATGTTGTTTTGCCCATGTTAATTTGTTTTATTGTTAAGTAGCAGTCCACTATATGAATATACCACAATCTATTTAATCGATTCACTTAGTGATAGACATTTGGGTTGTTTCCAGTTTGTGATAATATGAGTAAAGCCAGTATAAACATTTGCACACAATCATCTTGGTGGATATAGGTTGTTATTTTGGGGGGTAAATTTTTAGAAAAGAAATTAATGACTGGGCCAAATGGTAAGACTCTGTTTACATGAAACAACCGAGGAGTCTCCCAAAGTGTTTATAACATTTTACATCTTTTCCAGTAATTTATGAGATTTGCAGTTATTCATCAACAGCCTCACTAATAGTTTTTAATTTTTGCTACTCCAGTGTCTGTGAAGTATCATCTCATTGTAGTTTTAATTTGCATATCTTTGATGAATAAAATCTTGAAAATATTTGTATGTGCTTATTTTCCATTCATATGTCATCCATTTTTAAGTGTTGATTAAAATATTTTGCCCATTTATTTTAATTGTGTTATTTTATTATTATTATTGAGTTGTATTCTAAATACAAGAACTTTGTCAAATATATGTCTTACAAATATTACCTCCATGTAAGTGGCTTATCATTTAATTTTCTCAAGAATGTCATTTGAAGAGTCAAATATTTTTTATTTTAATGAATCAAATCTACCTTTCCTTTTATGTTTCATGCTTTTTGTATCCTATCTAATAATCTTTGTCCATCTCAATATCATGAAGATATCTTCTAGGATTCCTTCAACAAGTTTTATACTTGTAGATTTGCATTTAGGTCTATGATAACTTTTTATTTTTCTATGTATGGTTTCAACTGAGGTCATGGTTCATATTTTTTCATCAAATATCTAGTTGTTCCAGCAACACTTGTTGATAATACCATTATCCCTCATCACAGGGATAACTTTTGAAAATCAATATGCCATGTATCCACAGGTCTGGACTCTGTCATCACATAAATACTTTATAGTCTTGAACTACAACTTTCATTTAAGTATTGAAATAAGGTAATGTATATCTCCCAAGTGTGTTCTTATTTTTCAGAATTATTTGAGTAATCCTAGGTCCTTTGCATTTCTATTTTGAGCTTTAGAATTAGTCTGCTAATCTCTATCAAAAGAAAAAACAGTATGTTGTAATTTTTATTGAAATTATGGTGAATCTATTAATCAATTTGAGGAGAATGGAAAATGTGATAGATTAAAGATGGTAACAAATTTCTGCTATCCCCACCTAAGAGATAGAATTAATAACCCCTCTCCTTGGGACTGGCATAAACAATAGACTGTGGAAGAAATTATGTGGTATGACTTATATAGCTGGGTCACAAGAAGCCTAACTGATTTCACCTGGGAGCCTAAGCTTCCAAGTAATGTCTAAACCTTTGAGATAACTACACTGAACATCCTTGTCTTATTCCCATTCTTATGGTGAAAATGCTCAATATTTCACCATTAAGTGTAATACTAGCTATAGGTTTTTCCTCCATGGTGTTTATTGAGTTTGACTGAATAACAGTCTTTCCCAAAGATCTTCACATTCTAATTCCTGGGACCTATAAATATATTACCTTATGTGGCAGATGAGACTTTGCAGATGTGATTAAGCTAAGAATTTTGAGTTAGAAAAATTATTCTGAATTATTCATGTAGGTTCAATGTAATGAATAAGTTTGTTAAAAAATGGAAGTAGAAGGATCAAATAATATATATATATATGTGACAGAACTAGAGGTCAGAGTGATGTGCTTTGAAAATGGAGAGAACCTGGGAACCAAGGAATGCAGGTAGCCATTAGAAGCTGGAAACATAAAGAAAACCTCCAAAGGTTCCAGAAGGAACACGGCCCTGCTGACACCTTCTTTTTAGACTTCTGACGTCCAAAACTATGAGAATAAATTTGTATTGTTTTAAGCTACTAATCTGTGGTAATTTGTTGCAGTTACATTGGAGAACTAATGCAGATTTAGAAATGAGATTTGTTATTTAGAAATCATATTTAGAAATGTTATTGCAAGAATAATATTGAGTAAAAATTGTACAAATGGATATTCATGTCTCATTCCCAATCTTAGAAAGAAATTTCTTGATATTTCACCATAAAATATGATGCTAGATGGAGGCTTTTCATATATGACTTTTACAAGTTTATAAAATTTCCTTCTATCCCTAATGTGCTGAATTATTTGATCATGAATAGGCATGATTTTGTCAAATAATTTTTCTACATCTATTGAGATATGATTTTTCTCTTTTATTTTGATAATGCGATAACTTTCATTGATGATTTTAGAATTGTTGATAAATGCTCATTTAGCCATGATGTAGTTTCTCTTCATACAGTTCTGGTTTAAATTCGCTAATATTTTAAGGCACATTTTTGCTTCTATATTCTTAAAGGATATTGGCTTACACTTTCTTATAATATCTTTATCTGGTTTTGGTGTTAAGTTATACCTGCTTCAGTAAATAAGTCAGAAATTATTTCCTCTTCTTTTGTTTTGGAATTTATGTAAGTTGACATATTTTTTCCTTAAATGGTAGAATTTGCCACATAAACCTTCCATGATTTTCATTTTGGAAATTACTATGACTACAAATTAATTTTTAGGTACAGACCTATTCAGATTTCAATTATTCGTGTGCAAATTTTAAGTTGTAGTTTTCAACAAATTTGTCAGTTTTATCTAAGTTATCAATTTTTTTTTTAACTTTTCAGTTCAGGGGTACAAATGCAGGTTTGTTACATAGATAAACTTATGACATGATGATTGATTTTAAAACTGTTTCTATGCGTCAGAAGTCCAGGCGTGGCTTAGCTCTGCCATCTGATCAAAATTCTAGAAGACTGCAATCACCATGTCAGCCAAACTGCAAACTCACATGAAGATTTGGCTAGGGAAGAATTCACTTCTGAGCACATTCAGGTTGTTGGCAGAATTCATTTTCTTATGGCTGTGTCTGAGGATTTCAGGTTCTTACTTGAAGCCACCCTTGACTAGTCCAGTACTGTTGGTGTGATCAGACCCAACACCAGGTCATGGGGGCTATGAAGTCCAGCAGAGTCAAAGGAATGAGAAAAAGACAGTTTGAGAGAGAAAGTGGGACCAGGGGGCTATCGTGAGTGTGGAGACTGCAAAGTCCCCGAGCTCTGGGAGCCCACACTATTTAGTAGTGCTCAAACAGACAAACAGGTGGTGAGGATGTGGGGGTTGAAAGGAAACAGTGTATCAAGTGAATGGGAAACATGGCTGCTTGAGATAATGGGAGTGCTAGAAACAAGGAGCCAGCAAGTCTAGCAGACATGCAAGCCGTGCCTCAGCTTCTCTTCCAACACTCAGCTTTTCTCCCAACAAATACACTTGCAGTTCCCTGCCATATGGCCCTGTTCAGAGACAGTTCACAACATGGATCCTACTTCATCAAAGCCAGCAGGATAGAAAGAGCAAGTCTGTGAGCAAGATGGAGTCTTATACACTATAACATAATCACAGGAGTGATAAACCATCATGTTTGTCATATACTGCCAGTTACAAACAAAAAATAGGTCTTGTCTACAGTCGAGAGGAGGGAATTATATCATGGTGTGAATACCAGAAGGTGAGGATGATTAGGATAAATTCAGGTCTATCTGCCAAAAGAATCTCTTTAAAAGCATTTCTCATCATTGGTCTAAGGCTAAAAGTTATACGTCCTTAATTCATTAAAGTTTGTTTAGAGTCAAGATTGTATCCTTCACATTTTATACTTCCCACTTCCAACTTGACAAATGCAATAACCTTACAATGGTAGAATTCCATTAGCCCATTTCCTGAACCTTCGTGCTATTGTTTTTGTATCTTCATATTTATAATATTAAATATTTGTTGCTCTAACATAAGTTGTATTTTAGGGAAGTTATGAAAAGAAAAAAATTTATATTTACCCATTTATGTATAAATTCTTTCTGATATAGTCACATTTTCAACAAACATCAAATCCTTCATCCTGAAGCACATCATTTAACATTTCTTAACTTGCAGACTTTATTTTATTTTATGTTATTTTGAGACAAAGTCTTGATCTGTCACCCAGGCTGGAGTGCAGTGGTGCTATATCGGCTCACTGCAACCTCCACCTCCTGGGTTCAAGCAATTCTCCTTAGTCTCCCGATTAGCTGGAATTACAGGCATGCACTATGAAGCTCAGTTAATTTTTTGCATTTTTAGTAGAGACAAGGTTTCCCCATGTTGCCCAGGCTGTTCTCAAACTCCTAACCTCAGGCGATAACACCCACCTGGGCATCCCAAATTGCTGGGATTACAGGCATGTGCCACTGTGCCTAGCTTTGACTGGTAGATTTATTGGAAAGTAACTCTCCCAGTTTTTATCTCAAAATGTCTTTATTTTACTGTTAATATTGAAGTATAACTTTGATGTGTATGGAATTCTCAATTGATTCTTTCATCACTTCAAAGATGTTTCCTTTTCTTCAGGCCTTCTAATTTCTTACATAAAGTCATTCATCATGCATCTCATTGTTCCTTTCTTTACAGTGTTTTTTTCTTTTTTTCATTGGTTTTCTTTTTTCTTTGGCTGCTTTAAAGATTTTTCCTTTTTCTTTGGTATGTAGAAGTTCAACTATAATGTTCCCAAACACGGTTTCCTATCTGTTTATCTTGCTTGAATTTCTCTTACAGGAAGGTAAGAGTAACTCAGAAAGTAAGTAACTCAAATCATTTTATTAAACTGGGAACATTTTAACCATTTCTTTTTTCGATATTTGTTCTATTATATTCTCATGATTTTCTCTTTTGGGGTATAAACTTACGTGAATGCTAGATTGCTCAATATTGTGCCATACAGCTCTGTAACTTGATTTATTTTTCTTGAATTTTTATTCTTATTCCTTCATTTTGGATATTTTTAATGATCTGTCAAATATACTGAGTCTCTTTTCTGCCATTCCCAATATGCTGGTAAGTGCTTTTTCAGTGATTATTTATTTATTTTTAGAGACGGGGTCTTGCTCTGCCACCCAAGCTGGAGTGCAGTGGCACATCATAGCTCTCTGCAGCTCCAAACTCCTGGGCTCAGGCTATCCTCCCACCTCAACCTCTTCAGTAGCTGGAACTACAGGTGTGTGCCACCACGCCTGGCTATTTATTTTTATTTTTATTTTTGTAGAGACAGGGTCTCACTATGTTGCTCAGGCCAGATTCAGACTCCTGGGCTCATGCGATTCTCCCACCTTGGCCTGCAAAAGCACTTGGATTATAGCTGTGCCTGGCCCACTTATTGTGATTTTAAATCTAGAATTTCCATTTGGTTTCTTTTCATAATTTTCATTTTTCTGCTGAGGTTTTCTGTCTGTTCACATATTAAGACTTATTAAGGCTTCCTTAAGTACTTCATCATAGAAAACAGTTATTATGCTTTATTCTGTTATATCTGACATCTGGGAGATGTCAGGGTTATTTTATATTAATTGCATTTTTCCATGGATATGGATCACATTTTCCTATTTCTTTGATCATCTAGTATTTTTTATTGTATGGTGAACATATGAGGAAAGAATTGTGAAGAATCTACATTCCGTTATTGTCCTCTAGAGAATGTTAATTTTTATTTCTTTAGTTTGCTCATATAAAAGCTGATCACCTTATTTAGGCTTGTTTGTATGTTTTTATAAGGCAGAATTGTGGCAAGCCCAAGAGGTCCTCCTTTCTCTCTAACTTTGCAGATTCAATCTCTGGTTCTCTCATGGGATCTTACCACGGCTTGTTTTCAGGGATTTTAGGGGGAGTTCAGGGTTTGTTTGTTTGTTTTTTCTAGGGGTGGGGGGTTGTTAGATTGCGACTAGGCCTTACTCCAGGACATGGACTGGCAAACTACAGCCTGTATAGTGCCAAATCAAGCCTGCCTCTTGACTTCGTAAGTGCAGTTTCAATGAAACAAAGTCTCATCCATTTGTTAATGTATCATCTATGACTATTTTGTTCTACAGAGCAGAGTTGAGTAACCATAACACAGACCACATGGCCTACAAAGCTTAAAATGTTTACTCTCTCACCATACCCTGAAAAATTGCTGACTCTTTTATAAGACATTTTTCTTACACCTTAGGTGGGCATTTTATTGCTTCAGATGGATATCCACAACTTTAAGAAAATTCTCTCCTCTTTGGCTGAAATGGAGCTCTAATGTCTCTCACCACTATTAATATCTCTGTTCAGCTCTCAACTGTGAAGCAGCTACTCCCTGGTAAGCCTACCAGTCTTACTCTGTACTTGTGCACCCAAGCCTACAGTCAACAACTTAGAAAAAAACCTCCCATAAATACCTGAGTACTGTATCTGTTTAGTCTCCTCCTCTCTGGTGCCCATTTCTGAATTCTGATCTCTGCCACTTCATTCAATGGGATCATCATACCTAGTGTTAGAGCTCCTTGCACTCTGGTCAGGAGCTAGTCCCCAAGCAAAGAGCAAAGTTGTCTGTGGATAAATCTTGTAAGATTTCCAATGCCAAAGAATTATACTTTTTAATGCCTGTTGTTTATTGCCTGAAAATCAACACCTTATATATTTGTCAAGTTTTATAGCTGACAGAAAGAGAGCAAGTTCAGAACCAGTTACTTCTTCGTGACCTGAAGTGGGATTCCTACCATTCATTTAAATATTGATGACCCTGAAATCAATACATCCTGACAAATCCTCTCTGCTAAGCTTTTAGTACATATGGCCACCTTTCTTTTGGTCAGCTATATGATATCCCATATTGAGTTAGCACAAATTCAAAATGCCATACAAAGATGCATTCCCTTTTACTTCACCCTTCTTTCCCTTCATTATCTGTATCAGTAAATACTGTTACCAACTTCTGAGACAAATATGTGAATTTCAATCTACAACTCAACCTTTCCTTTACCATCATGGTAGACAGAATAATTCTCCCTGACCAAATGTCACATTCTAATCTCTGGAACCTAAGAATACATTATCTTACATTGCATGAGGGATTAGGTTAAGGATCTTGAGATGAAGTGATTATCGTGGATTATAAAGGTGGGCCCAGTGGAATCACAGAATTCTTATGAGAGAGAGGCAAAGTCAGGAAGCAGAGTTCACAGAGAAAGAGTTTGGAAGGCACTGTGCTGCTAGCTTTAAAGATGGAGGAAGGATCTACAGGCCAAGGCATGCAGGTGACCTCTAGAAACTGGAAAAAGCAAGAAAACAGATTATTCTTAGAGTCTGTAGAAGAAACATAGCCTTGCTGTCACTTTGATTTATCTCAATGAAACTGATTTCAGATGTCTAATCTGCAGAAGTGTAACATAACAAATTTATATTATTTTAAGCCACTAAGCTTGTAATTATTTGTCACAGCAGCAAAAGGAAACTAATGTAATCATCAGAAACCAAATTCTGTGAGAACTTCCTCATCTTGTTCATTGCTGGTCATTCCTTATCCCATGTCACTGACTTTTATATGCTTCATCTCCAGGCCTGCTTGACTAGCCTCCAATCTTGTCCTCCTATTGTCAACCAACAGTTTACTTCATAACAACCCTACTCAATAGGTCTTCTCCTATCTGAGCTTCATGATGGTGCTAGAGTAATATTTCTCAGACTATAATCAATTTGTGATTTTTAAATGGATTACAGTGCCCTCAGGGCAAAATCATACCTTCAGACATTGGCACACACGCCCCTTCAGCTTCCCACTGCTTCCTATTCACTGTTCTCAGTGCCCACAGTGCATTTTCACCACTCAGTTCCTCTCCTATCTGGACTAGCATTGTTGTATGTCACATCTTTCGTCCACAAATGAGCTATCCTTTCCTCTCCTCCTCTATTTGGGACGTTCAATACGTATCTGTTGAGTGAATGACTAAATACGATTTCTGAATCAACATGAGCACCAAATTAATTTAAGCTTATGAGCTTGATATTCAGACTAGTGCACATAAATAGATTTGCTTTTTTAAACCACATATTTCTTTACACAAGGCAAAATTATTGTTTACCCACACTTAGCATTCTAATACATCCTTCTCAGCAGTCTAATGCATATTTTCATTGGATAAAAAGAGTATATTTTCAAAATGAAACAAATAATCATGTAAGATTCTTTTATAGCAGTGTTCATTTGCCGACCTGCTTAGGAAATATTTATTAGCTTAACTACATGCTACGAAGCTGGAATTGTGAGAGTATGGCCCTTATCACTGCCTACATACTGACTTGACTTAAACCCTTTCAGAAATGTAGCTGTTGGTTCTTTCATTAAAATCTTAAAAAATTGATGATTTCCTAGTCTTCTTTAAAATTATATCCTGAAAATTCTTACGTTGTATGTGATATATAAAGAAAATAAAATCAACAATTACAACATAGTCCTATAAAAAGTATGCAAACACAGAGAGAGATATATAACTCAGACTGGGATAAGGGCAAGAAGAATGTGGGAAAGAATGCATAAAGCAACAAGACATGAATTGAGTTTGTAGTTGGATTAAGAAAAAAATACTATGGCAATCACAACAAAGGGGATTTAAATAAATAAGTGTATACAAACATGAAACACTAATGTGCATTCAGAGACCTTTCCTTCTGTTTAAGCAGCAAGAGAAAAAAGAGACCTTTCCAATGTTTAATTTTACTGGAGCATGGTGTGTGTGTGTGTGTGTGTGTGTGTGTGTGTGTGTGTGTGTGCGCCTGTGTGCAAAGGATGAAGATAGTCTGGGCGAATAAGAAACTAGTGAGGGAAGGAGGCATTTAGAAGTGCCTTATGAATGTATGAAACTGTATTTATCTTGTAATAAACAGTTGTGATTGTTCACAAGGGTGTGGCATAATCAAATGTGCCCTTTAGATAATAGTCAACAGGATATGGATGGATGAGAGTATGAGAATTTTGACACTAAAAGCAGCAAAATCTGTTAAAGAACATTTTGTACTAATGAAGATGAGATGATGAGATGATTGAAGGGTATGGCAATGGGGATGGAAAAGATGGGTTACACAGCAGAGATACTTAATAATCAATATAGTATGGTATAGTTGAAAGAGTGTGGGCCAATCCCCAGTTCAGTCACTTATTGACAATGTAATTTAAACAAATTAATGCAACTTTGTGAATCTTAGGTAGGGATAATAATACCTACCTAAAATTGTGTTCATGAAATGAGAGATACAAGAATCACAGATCAAGTAACTTGCACAGTTTATGACCACAGATGCTGAGTAAATGATAGCTGTTTGAATCATTCGTATTCTAAACCTGTAAGATTTGGTCCTTTGGTAGTGTAAAAGTAGTAGAAATCTAGGATGAGTCTATGTTCTCTGGCCTGTATTAAAAGATGATTATTGGTCACATTTACTAAGATAGGCAATAAGAGGTAGAAGCAGCAGATTTTTTGCAAGAAAAAGAGTTTATAAAAATATTTCAAATTATCTTAACTACATCAATATTGATTTAGGGTTTCTTCATAGTCACCTTTTTACAGCCTTGGTTTACTTTTCAGTAGCAATATGGTGTAGCAACCAAAAATATGAACTCTGGAGTTAAAATGCCTGGGTTCAAATCTCAGCTTCTTTGTTTACTATATGAGCTGTGTGATCTTGGTCGAGTTTCTAAACTTCTTTGTGATCTAATTCCTCATTTGTAAAATGGGAATACTGTAATAATGTGTCCATCTCAGAGAGTGGCCGTGAAAATAAAGGAACATTTTGTAAATTACTTAAAACAGTGTCTCCTTCTTCTAAGAGCTATAGAAGTGTAAGATATTTTCTTTTTATTTTCATTCGTTGTTTGCTACCCCATAAGGCAAGTTTTCTCAATTTCCTTCCTCTTTTTACATCTTTCTCTAATCCTTTGATAAAAAAAAAAAAAAAAAAAAAAAAAAAAAAAAAGGCAAAAGCTCAGTAGGGAAAGCTCAGTAGGGAACTTAGAAGTCCCTGACATTAAGTTAATATAACAGGTCAAAAGACATGATTATTTTACAAAGTAAACTAGATCTAATGTGTGCAAAGCATCATACATTCACTGTGAGGGTATTGTAGCCTCTACACTTGAAAAATGATATCTCCTCATATGCATAGGAAATTTACAAGGTAAATGTTGCTGAGATTTACAACTGTCAGAAGCCTCAAAAATAAAACTCTCTTCCAGAAGTTTTTCTTTACTTTATTTAAAATATCTAATAAAGGGAAATTTTTATATGCCTAAATCAAAATGTCACCACATTACCATAGGTCTGTAAATGATATGGGTTGGCAAAGAAGCATCTATATAAATTTTTCAACACCTAAATAAATAATATTTTAACTTTGGGTAAGTACAGTTGCATTAGTGAAGAGAGTTGTATGTTTCTAAAAATGATGATAGCTAGTAGTTTTAGAAACCCTATAATTCACTGCTTCACAGAATATAACTTTTAAAGAATACTGCCTACTGTAGTTTATGTGGAGAAAAAACAGATTTGGAGGTTAATTCTGTAATTTATAGTAAGAGAGTAAATTACCTATTATCGTAAGATTTCTCCTTTTAATTTTAAGCATACCTTTTCTAGACACCTGGAGACAGAATTATAGTTCTGAGAGAGCCACGGTTAATTACACCTCTCTGCTCTCAGCAAAAATGTCCACATTTTGACCAACAGAATAACCTGTAGTATATTCCAAAGCCCAGCTCCTACATCTTTGGCACAAAAATTTGCCCAAATATGTCCGTTGAACTGCTTGAGGTTCTCTAGAACATATTTTATAGGTGGTATAAAGTTTAATATTTTAATTATGTATCACAATTACCATTAGTAGATCAGTTTGAAATGAGAATATGCACAAGTGGAAACTTCCATTTTTTAGATATTTACAAGAAAAAAATAGGAACCTAAAAATAATATATATACCTGTGTGCTCTGCTCAGAATAAAAGAATCATAAGACTTTCCTCAAATCTGATTTAGAGAACAAATCAAACATTACAAATAAAGTCAACATTTTTCTCCCTTTGTCTATCCCATTGTTTCTCTTCTACCCAGAGGGGCTTCTACAATAAAAAAAAAATCTGTATGGAAATTTCTGAGTCACTTTAATAATTTTAGATATATGCATACACACACTCAATGTAGTTTGTTTCAAAAGTATTATCTGTATGTAAATTCTATTAAAATGTATATAGTTTTTCACTGTTGAATTGTTTTTCATGTCAACAGTGAGTTCTTGAGAACTATTCAAACTGATATATATCTCATTCATTTAAACTGCTATAATGTTGTTTCTTTGAAAAAATCTATGCATTACCTACAAAGGATTGACAATTTGGATGACAACAGATTTTTCATCTGAAACCATACAGGCCAGAAGGATGCAGCACATGTTTATCAAATACTGAAGGAAAATAACTGTCAAAAATCATTCTTTGTAATATCTACCCATATTCCATGATTTTATCACATACATGGATATGTTTCTGAATTCTATGTCATCTGTCACTTTTTCTGTTTTAATATAGCATAAGTTTAATTATCTAGTTTTAGAAAAAGAGCTGATATCTAGAAATCAATTTCTCCTTCCTTGTTTTTAATATGGGATATTTTGGACATTTATACCTTCACATAAATTTTGTAACCAATTTATTAATTTTTACCAATGCTTATTGGAGCTTGAACAGTGATCTCTTTAAGACAGTGAGTCTTCCTTTAGATGAAAATACCATCTTCCCTTTAATTGAGGATATATTTTGTGGGATTCAATAATCTTTATTTTTAAAGAGCTTTTATACTTATTTATTTAAATTTATTTCTAGAAACCATAAATCTGTTGTTTCTCCAGTGAGCCTCAGTTTGTAATTTCTTTCATTATATGAACATCTCTTACAGATTAAATATGATTTCAGTATTTTAAGATGTGTATATTTCACACAAAACAAACCCTAGCTGCAAGAAAAGTAGATCACGTACCTCTCCATCAAAAAAGCAGGGTTGTATTCCAACCCATGGGGAAAAACGAGCAACAAAGCGCCAGTATTCACTGTAGCACCTTCAATAAGGATCAAGAAATGTTTGAGGGTTATTTTTATCATACCAATGATATTAGCCTTAGAAATATAACCCAGTCTTAAATGTGGCTTCATTGTATTAAATCTAGGACTAATATATCTTGTTTCCAAGAAATTAATTATTAAAACAGCATCTTACCTAATTTTAAAGTAATGGAGGAAGTGAGGAAACAATTGTGAAACTCTCATGTGAATACTTTAATATTTAGTGCAATAGTGTTATGGGGCTTTTTGGCAACCTTCGTGTGTTATGCTTACGTTCTTCAAATTTCCAAATGTATGCAGCCATCCACGTAGAAGACTTACTTCAACTATAGCAAATAAAAGACCTTTTTGCCATTTGAGAACATGGAAGAAATATTTATAGCTTTTCCAAAGAATAATCCTAGTAATTTTTAGGCCATCAATCAAGATTTCCTAATCAACTTACGTAGAAGAAACTGGCATTGCTATATTCTGGTTTGCACCCCTTTAAATCTGTGAATTTTTAACAAGACAAAATTGGCTTAATAGCTCCTTTCCTAACTCACTGCACACATAAACTAAAAACTACTTCAACGTATTTCTAGGAGGTGGGTTTGTGTGGTTACTTATCCAAGCCTTTTTTTTGGACATTGCTATTTCAAAAAATATTGCTCTAATGATATTATCTATGTCCTGTGTAGAGGTGCCATTTACATGGCCTGGGCCTTTGTTCCAAGTACAGTGTTTAATTTATTTACTAGTTTAAGAGCTAAAGAAAGAGTTATATTTAGGTATAGGAGTTATCAAATTGACTGCTTCAACCATCTCTTTTTAAGAAAAACAAGTGCAATCAATTTTATCCTTCCATATTTTTCCACATGGTTGCCAATGTCTTCTCCTATACTGGATTAGAGTATATTTTTGATTTATAATTTCCCCTCTTGGTGATAGCCTCTTATGAAATAAATATGCTGGAAAGAATAATGTACAGTAATATGGAAAGAAAAACAGAAGTGAAGAGAAATAAGAAGTAACTACTTGGGAGTACCTATTCAGTGCCTAGTAACCTCATTAATCATTAAAAAAAAATCCTGGGATACAGTTTCTATTTCACAGAAGAAAATTAAGACCTCGAATTAATTTTATCAAGTCCACACAACCAAGAGGGATAGGATAAGGAATTAAAACCAAGACTCTCTAACTCAAAGATCTAAGTTCATTTCATTTTTAGAGTGTTTTTTACAACCCTGTTGCAAATGGCCCTAGGGACATTTTAGAAATCTGTGAGGGCATTTTTGATTATCAAAATGTTTGTGAGTGACTTCTGGCATTTAGTGTAGTGTCCAGGGATAGTGTCTTAAATAATATTGAGATTATTTTAGCCATAAATTACTTGTGTGCTATGAGACTTTTGAAATTTTCACTAGAGATTATCAAAGAAAACCACCTGTTAATAATTTTACAAGCCTCAAGTCTAACACTCTGCTTTCCATATAAAAAGAAGGATTTGTGTAAGTTTTAATATATGTTAATTTCTCCAGAAATATAACACTGGGTAGGTCAATAGAAGATTGCAATTTGTTTTTTTTGGAAATTTTTCCAAAGTTGTTCACCATTTCAAAGATCTCTTTGCTCAAGGCATTGCTACTCATGGTATTTAACTTGCCATAACCATTTAAGTCACCTGTATCAATTTTCAATCATAGCTTGCATAGTCATGTGCTTATATAGTCCTCACATTAAAATGTCAAGTATAAAGAAAAGGTGTCAAAATATTCTATTGGTTATTATTTTTATTCCCCTAAAAACAACTTTATTCATCATAAAATGCCGTCAAGCATCTGGCTACTTCATTATGTCAACTAATGTAGTTATTCCTATATGTTTTAATAATAAAACATTATTTTACTATAAATTATTTTTCTTCAATTATTAGAAAGTTATATTGAAACTTTAAACTGATCCGAGAAGGTGAGATAAAGAAATGTGGAGTTCATTCAAGACATTGAAGGGATCATTGGTTCTGAAGGAACTGAGAATCACTGCTTTACATTATGATGTAAACTGTGATATGGTTTGTGCTGAGAAATTTCTAGATGTAAAAATGTGGCTTTAAGTATGGGCCACAAGTTAAAAGTGTCCACCAGAAAGCAGCAAAATGGCTTGGGTGTTGGAAGTGATTCTCTAATATCTATTCTATCCCCCCGCATTGTTAAATAGCTTAAAGGTTGAAGACTACTCCATTCTGGCCTATTACTTGAACTGGAATTAAGAAAATACCATTTCCTTAATAGAATAAGCATGTAGACACTTCTGACAAATAATATAAAAGGATAAAATAGCTGTAGAGTTGTGAGAATGTCCTCTTCAATCCTTAAAGAGAGAATTGAGAAACGTCTTTCTTGTGCTCGTCATTTTTTTGAGTTTGTTTTTATATTTATTCATTTTCAATGGCTTATTAGGGTATAATTGACATATAAAATGGTGTATGTGTAAAGTGTACAACTTTTTGTTTTGATATATGTATACATTGTAAAATGATCACCACATTCCACCTAATTAACATACCTATCATCTCTGCATAGTTACCATTTGTGTGTGTGTGTGTGTGTGTGTGTGTGTGTGGTGAGACTTAATTTAAGATGCATCCTCTTAACAAATTTCAAGTATACAATACAGTATTTTTAACTATTGTCACCATGCACAGCATTACATCTCCAGAAATTATTCACCTTGCATAACTAAAGCTTTACACCCTTTGGCCAATATCAGTCTATTCCTCTCCACCCCTTTACCTGGAAACCATAATTCTACTTTCTTCTTTATGACTATACTCTGCTAGATTCCACATATAAGAGAGATTGTACAGTATTTCCTCCTGTGTCTTACCTTTTCTGCTTAGCATAATGTCCTCCCACTCCAATTATTGTTGCAAATGGAAGGATTTCCACCCGTTTTAAAGGCTGAATAATACACACACAAACACACACACACACACACACACACACACACACACACACAGAGTTTTGTGTTTTTTTTCCTGCATTCATCCATCAGAAGATATTTAGAATGTTTCCATGCCTTGGCTATTGTGAATAATGATGCAACGAACATGGAAATGCAGATACCTCTTTCAGATAGTGACATTACTTCCATTGGATATACCCAGAAGTGGAATTGCTGGATCATATGGTAGTTCTATTTATAATTTTTTGAGGACGTTTCATATTTTTTTCATAAATGGTGTACTAATTTACATTCCCCTCAACAGTATGCAAGGGTTCCCTTTTCTCTGCATCCTCACCAACACTTGATATATTTATCTGTTTTGTAATAGTGATTCTAACAGCTATGAGGTGGTATCTCATTACGGATTTGGTTTGCATTTCCATGATAATTAGAGATGTTAAGTACCGTTCAGTATGCCAGTTGTCCATCTAAATTTCTTCTTTTAAGAAGCCTATGTAGGTCCTTTGCACATGTTTAAGTTGGGTTATTTGTACTGTTGGTATTAAGTTGTATGAGTTCTTATATATTTGGATATTAATCCCTCACTAGATATATTATTTGCAAATACTTTTCGCAAATATTCAATATGTTGTCTTTTCATTTTGTTGATCATTTCCTTTGCTATTCAGAAGACTTTTAATGTAATCCCACTTGTCTACTTTTGCTTTTATTACCTGTGCTTTTGGTGTCATATCCAAATGGTGATTACCAAGACTAATATCAAGAAAGTTTATCCTATTTGTTTTGTTTGTTTTAGGAATTCTACAGTTTCAAGTTTTATATGTAAGTGTTCAATGCATTTTGAGTTGACTTTTGTGTATGGTGTGAGATAGAGTCCAATTTCATATTTTAGCATGGGGATATCCAGTTGTCCCAACACCATTTGTTGAAGAGACTATTCTTTCCTCTATTGTCTGTTCTTGGCAACCTGTGAAAGACCAATGTGGATATTTTGACAATATTAATTGTGCTCAATCCATGAACATGAAATGTCTTTTCACTTATTTGTATCTTTAAAAAAATTATTAATGTTTTATAATTTCATTTATTAAAATGTCTACCTTTTGGGAGGTTTTTTTCATGAAACAATATTGAATTTTGTCAAATGCTCTTTGTGCATCTTTGAGATAATCATGTGGTTTTTGTCTTTCATTCTGTTACTATGGTGTATCATATTGATTGATTTTCTCATGTTGAAACAACTTGCATCCAAAGGATGAATCCCAGTTAAACATGATGCCTCATTCTTTTAACGTGCTATTGAATTTTGTTTGCTAGGATTTTTGCATCTTTATTCATCAAGGGCATTGACCAACAGTTTTTATGTATGTCGTTTCTGTCTGGCTTCAGAATCAGCATGATGCTTTTCTAATAAAATGAGTTGGAAAATGTTCACTCTTTATCTATTTTGTTGGAAGTGTTTAAGGAGGTTTGATATTAATTATCCTTTGAATGTTTGGTGGAATTCAGCTGGGAAGTTATCTGGTCTTGGAATTTTCTTTGTTGGGAGGATTTTGATTACTGATTCAACTCCTTGCTTGTTTTGGTCTATTCAGGCTTTCTGTTTCTACTTGATTTAGTCTTCATAGGTTGTATGTTTTCAGGAATTTGTCATTTTTTAAGTTTACCTAATATTTTGGCATATGATTGTTTATGATATTCTCTTATTCTTTTCATTTCTGTGTCATTCATTGTAATATCTTTTTATTTCTGATTTTAAATAATTTTTTTCTTTATAGCCTATCTAATGGTTTGTCAATATTATTTTTTTAAAAACTATTATTTTTTTTAAAACTACACTTAGTTTTATTGTTTTTTTCGGTTGCTTTTCCAGCCTCTATTTCATTTATTTTTGCTCTAATCTTCAATATTTCCTTGTTTAACTTGTTGCTTTTCTAGTTCTTTAAGGTATAAAGTTAGTTGTTTTAAATTTAGATTTTTTTCTCTTTAATAATCTAGGTTCTTAGCAGTATAAACTTGCCTCTTAGTACTGCTTTTGCTGCACCCCATAAGTTTTGGTAGGCTGTATTTGTATTTTAGAATCACATTTTTTAAAATATTCTTATTTTATCATTTATCCAGTGGTTTTATAATTTCATTTATAAAATGTCTACCTTTTTGGAGGTTTTTTTCATGAAGCAATGTTGAATTTTGTCAAATGCTCTTTGTGCATCTTCTTTGTTGTTCAAGAGCGTGTTGTTTAGTTTCTACATGTTTTTAAATTTTTCTGTTTTATTTCTGTTACTGATATGTGAAGATACTTGGTACAATATCTTATATTTAAGACTTGTGGTATAACACGTAATCTATCCTGGAGAATGTGCCATATGAGATTGAGAAGAATGTGTATTCTGCTGATATTGTCTGGAAATTTCTTTATGTGTCTGTTAGGTCCATTTGGATATGTGAACATTCTTATTGAGTATAATCTAAGGGAATTTCTAGGTCATGGGTTTTCATATGTGTAGCTTTATAAAAGTCCTGCCATGTGTATTGTACAAATTTACACTTTCATCAGTTGGGTATAAAAGTTGTAATTGCTCCACAATGCCACCAACATTTAGATTTTTCAGTTTTTTTTTTTTTATTTTAGCCATTCCAGTGCATTTATATTTGTATCTCACTATGATTTTAATTTACATTTTCCTAATGACTGATGAAGTATAACATATTTTCATACTTTTTGATCACATATATACATTTTTGCAAGGTTCAGGCCTTCTGCCTATTTTTCTATTTGGGTGTCTATCTTTTTTTTCTATTGACTTATAGAGATTTTTGCATATTCTTGATATCAGTTTTTGTATTAGTTGTATGTATTACAAACATTTTTAATTAAAAAAATTTTACTTGTAAAAATTCATGGGATACAAATATAATTTTGTTACATGACTGTAGTGCATAGTGGTGATGTCAGGGCTTTTTGTGTGTTCAGCACCAGAATAATTTCTTTATGCAGAAAAATGAAACTGGACTCTTATCTCTCACCATATACAAAAATCAACCCAAGATGCATTAAAGACTTAAGTGTAAGACCTGAAACTATAAAAATATTAGAGAAAATCCTAGACAAAACTCTTTTGGACAATAGTCTAGGCAAGGAATTCATGAGTAAGACCTCAGGCAAATGTCTTTGATTTTTTGATGTCATTGTTCAAACACTGTATGTAGCAGTGTTGTGCTATGTTTAACAATTGGCTCTTTAGATGTAAAGGATGCCCTAATTTATATTGTTTGATAACTTTTGCGGTGGAAATACTCTCTGCATGGCAGATTTAAGGTAACAACCTTGATGTCACTAAGCAGAGTTGGGCAAAGATGTGGAGTAGTACATTACATGGTATTTTCACCATAGAATTTAGAAGTAAATAACTTCAAGAATATAAACAATAGTATAATAATTAGGAAATAATGAGTTATATTTATTACCTTTAATTTTAACATGATTTTATATAATTTGATTTTGGGCAATGGCTGTGTTTAATAGCCAGCTTACAAAACTCCAGAAGATTAGCTGGTAATTCTCACAAGCCCGTACAAGCCATCTTTAACACACCACTGGAGTTTACTTATCATGATGCCATCCTGTCTGTGAACTTCTTCCTAAGTAAGCAAGTATATCTTTTTATTATTATTGTATTAAATAATATTTTATTGACACATAACACACAACATAAATGTGCACATATACTGTGTACAGCAGAATGTATTTTCACAAAGCAAACACAATCATGTAACTACTACCCAGACTGAGATATAGAATATTACCACCCCCCACTGCAGAAGTGTCCTGAATATCTGCTGTCATGAACTAACCCACAAAAGTAACCACTAATTTGACTCCTATTACCATGTATTAGAGTGTTTTTGAACTTCACATTAGTGGACTTCCTTTTATATTTTTTTCTGTATAAAAAAGTTACTGTCTATATTTTATATCATATTGTATACTTTACAGATGACATAATACTGCACATCAGCAAGGCAGAAGATCCTCAAATGTGTGACTCACTACAGTGATGGTACATAAGATGACTGTAGTCAGTAATACAAGTACATTACTAAAAAATGGTGAGAAAGTTACTCCTTTTTAATTTTTGTTCTTCCTAAGAATTCTTTGTAAGTATTAAGATTGCTTTTTTATTCTCTCAGTTTACATCAGAGGCAAGCCTATGCCTGTTACTATTAAGTCGTTAACATTTAACCCTTCTTATGTCCTTTCTGACAATTGGGAATCAGGCATTAAATTAGCTTCCTCTGGCGAAGGTTTCAAGGTGGAATTTAATTACATTATTATGTTTTTATTGTTTTACTTTTATATTTATCTTTCATTTATGAAAAATACTAATTTCAGATGTATAGTAGTAATTAAAATGTCCCTTTTAAATAAATGACTTAAATATAAAAATTAGCCAATTTTGTGAAATTTATAACATATTACAATAGATACTTGAATATAGTAAACATTTGGCATTACACTAATGAGTAAGTTTGAGACACTGTGATTGTGAAACCTACTGTCTCAAACAAGAGCAATGACACACAATAATTACTCTGAGGAAAATCAGAAGGAGTAAATGAAGCATTTTGATTTTGTAAAGCCGCATTTAGAGGGACCGTGAAGAAAGAGGATTTGAGGAATTTCTATGTCAAGGGCTTCAGCATCACTCGATTTAGTTGAGGAAAGTTTCCTGGAGGAAGTAGGTTTCAAGAGTGTCTGACAGGCTGGGCGTAGTTGTTCATGTCTGTAATCCCGGCACTTTGGGAGGCCGAGGCAGGCCGACTGTTTGAGGCCAGGAGTTCAAGACCAGCTTGGCTAACATGGCTAAACCCCATCTCTACTAAAAACACAAAAATTCTCCAGGTGTTTTGGTGCGCGCCTGTAATCCCAGCTACTTGGGAGGCTGAGGCATGAGAATTGCTTGAACCCAGGAGGCAGAGGTACCAGTGAGCCTAGATCACGCCACTACACTCCAGCCTGGGTGAAAGAGTGAGACTGTGTCTCAGAACAAAAACAAAAACAAAGAGTGTCTGACAGATTTGGTGGTCCTGATAAGTTCTAGAAAGATTTGCAAACAGAATATCACCTGTCAACACTGTTACTATCATTAGAAATATTTAACTAGGTTATATTTCCAATAGCATGTATAAAACTGTCTCGTATTTTAAATATATGTGCAATATGTTTTATTGAGCACATCTAATAAATATGAATAAAACATATTGGATTCATTTCCATAAGGAATACACAATGCCAACTTAATCTATACCGTAATTACGGCATAGGGATAAGATTATGACTGTGCTGTTTGTGTTAATTGTCTGAATTTATAAGCAAATTCCTCCCAGAATAAATCCTCTGGTGCATCTGTTATGTATTTAGGCTTTTAAAAAATGTAGTTTAGTGTGAGCCAAGCAGGTGTGCAGTTCTCTCACCCATGAGATCACATAAAATGAAAAGATCATGACTGTCCACAACCTCGGAAAAACAAGGATCAAGGAAAGGCACACCTTTTCACTCATGCCAACTGAGTTTCAAATCCTTGGCTCTCTTAAGGAATTCACAAGTGGACCAGTGAACCTGAAACAAGAAAGCACAATTTGGCACAACAGTTCTGATTTTTCCCCCAATATTTTGACATTGAAGCCACAATCAGAGCACTAATTTTGGTTATTGATAGTGAAGTAAAAACATTTAAAAGTAACTGACATTCCCTCATTGGTAATGTGAGCTTGAATGTTTGTGTGCCTCTGCGTGTATCACAAATGTGTGGACTAAACCCACCTTTGATTAATCAAGTAGAGGTATTGTTCCATTTCCCTCAAATATTTGTATTTTTCTCCACTTTTTGATACCCCCCTTACTGTTCTAAAAATTACATGCTACTATTTCATTGTGAGAGGCTTTTTCTCTCTTCCTCCTCTCGTGTTGGTGTCTGTTCTCATATCTCCAACTCAGCAATTTGCTTATAAATTTAGTCACTTCAATCAGCACAAACACTACTCCCTCAAGAGAACAGAAGTTCCAAGCCATTGGAGTCTAGAAAGGAGAAACACCCCCCTAAAATCTGAAAGTTCTTGTGGCTTTTTCCTTACTCTGTGCTTTTAGTATCCTCATCACAAAAGTGGAAATTTCCAGGATAACAGTATAATTAGAAAAGAGTATATATGTCTGTGTTTGTAAGTGTATATGTACAAGAAAAATGCAGCTCAGAATATAGGAGTAAAAAAGTGAATCCCTAATGCACTCCCAGCCATAATAATGACCTACATAGCAAGCAGAAAATAGCTACTAAGGGGCTTAGGGGGTTGCAGGGAAACACAGAGGAAATCAAGGGTCACCCCTTCTTTGTGCCTTTGCTCCACTCTCCTCTATTTAGACTGCTTTCTGAGTTGTTATCTGCTCAATACATCTCTTGCCAGAAACTATCTCATTTTCTCTCAAAAGAAGAGAGATGTCTATTTAAATTATTTTAATACATAACATTTGTTAGATACAGAACTGCTTTGTGACCTCTTAAGTGCTAAACTCAATTGTTAAAGCAATGGTAGGAAACGGTAAAATTGGTTGTTCTGCTGTTTTGACTTAGCATAATCTACAGCTAGTTTTTCTTCTTCCTAATAGCTATGTGTGGGATGAATAACACCCAGTTTGCTTTTATTTTGCAGTCACCATTGGCTCATTAGGCTTCTGGTACATGAAATAACAGTCGCTGATTTACTTGAGGCAGCATATAAGTAAACACCCTCTGTTACACCAACTCCCAGAGCACTTTCCAAACATCTGTAAAGAAATGTTTTAACCAGTGACTCATGTAGCTACATCTGGGGAAGACCTCAGTCAAAGTTTAATAGTATATAATCATCACAGGCAAAGTCATTTGGAAACTGGGATAAGAACTAGAGAGAAATATCAAATTTTATATTTTCGTAGAAATTAAAGGTATGTGCTATTTTTTAAAATCAAGATTACCACAGTCATATTTGTCTGGAAATCAAGAATCTCTGATTCTGGTATCTAAAGAAGATCCGATGTGATAAACAGAGAGCAGTCATCTCTAGTGATTTTGCGCTATTGGATGTATTTGTTGGGAAGAATATGCTCAGCAGGTACTCCTATTGCCTTCACATTTGTAATCCTGGCTTCAGAATTAGAATTTCAAACCTATAGACATATTTATGTTTCATTGTTAGAGAAATATAAGATAAACAAACTTCAGAGATAACTGACTCATTTTGCCTCTTACCATACTGACCATTTGCTACCATAAGTAAAAGGAAAGTAATAAAACCAGTTAATATTTGATTACTATTTTAATTGCCAGAAAAATGTATATTTGTTTCTCTTTGGCATGTTGTTCTTTACATGATGATTTAAACAGAGTCTTTCCCTTCAGGGGATTAACAATTAAGAAACACTGGAACATTCAAAAAATATTTTAAAAAACAATGGAAATAAAAAATTTTTAAAAATTTAAACATGCTAGTTATTCATTATTTGAGGGTTTGGGTTTAAAGAATGCCTTCAAAAATAATTTAAACACTAAATAATTAACATATTAAAAGCCCTTAGATTTATATCATTTTAATTCACATTTCTTGTATTTGTCTCTTTATTTTCTCTTATTTTTTTCTTCATTCATAAATTGAGATAGTAAGATTGACCCCCATACAACAATAAATAGTCCTGACTTTAAGGGCTTTTGAACTAGGCTAAGAATAGGAGACACTCAGAGAAGAACAAAAAGAAAGCAAACAATTTACATAGGGTAGGACGGGAAAACTGCATGAAATTTTAAAAAAAAAATAGCAAGACATTAACAATTTAATTTTTATGTTTTCCATGATCAGACGTTGAAATGATTCCTAATGAGGAAAGAGACTGACAGGGAATGAAAGACAGAGAGAGAGAGAGAGAGGCAGAGAGAGAGAAGCAGACTGTTGGCAAAACAAAGTGAAAGTGTCCCTTTCACACAGGAGAGGATGGAAGGGAAAAAAAAGAAAAAGACTGCAATATATATATATATATTTTTTTTTTCTTTTTTTTTCTTTTTTTTTTCTTTGACACAGAGTTTCATTCTTGTTGCCCAAGCTGGAGTACAGTGGTGCTATCTCGGCTCACTGCAACCACCGCCTCTCGGTTTCAAGCAATTTTCCTGCCTCAGCCTCCTGAGTAGCTGGGATTACAGGCACACGCCACCATGCCAGGCTAATTTTTTGTATTTTCAGTAGAAATGAGGTTTCACCATGTTAGCCAGGCTGGTCTTGAACTCCTGGCCTCAGGTGATCCACCCGCCTCAGACTCCCAAACTGCTGGGATTACAGGTGTGAGCCACCTTGCTTGGCCGGCTGCATTATATCTTAACCCAGACAGCTGCTGGTTATAAAGTTAGCTCCTAGGAAAATGATCAGTGAGAACGACTGAAGATGGAAGACTAAGTGCTTTTTGGGTCTTGCCTGGTTGCGATTACTATACAGTACTTTGGAAGACAAATATTGTGTAAATTGATGAAATAAATAAAACTTTGGCAGTATATTTAAATTGCGTTGAAAACCAAAGCACTTCAGGACACTGAGTAGTATTAAATCAATAAAGTGAGCTTTTCTACATATAAATGTATTCTATTCACATCGGTCATTACCCATACTGCACAATGATATTCTGATTAATGCTGCGTGGAGTAGATCTCCCAGATGCCACCCAGATGTTCAAAGAAAACTAATGTTGTTTGACTTAAAGAGAAAAGTATAAATCACATGTACTTTGACATACATAGTGGAGCAAATGGAAAGCCTCCCCATGTGAATTCCATACTTATTTCATAATTGTATTTCAATTAAAAATGAAAGAGAAAATGCTAAGTAGTTCTAGGCCCACATATGAAATAGAAGAGAAAAAATACCATGTAAGTACAGTAAATGAACATACACGGCTAAATATACCTGTTACAATTTAACACTATTAATAGTTTTTGTTGTTTCATTAATACTTTCATTCTAAAACATAATCATATTGTGCATCCCATCACTGTTTGAAGACTACTCCAAAAGTTCAATTTAGCAGGTAGGGAATAATAGAAAGACAAATTCAATCTCCAAATGAAATGAAACTACAAGCCCAGATAGGAAGGAATGTTTTCTAAATTTCCAGTTATCAAAGGCTGTAAAGTTCATCAGACTTTGAGTATGAAAATACAATGTATCAAAATATATACTTGAATTGGGTATTAAAAATAACATCTTTTCCTCTTACTACAAATGGTAAGAAATAAAGATGTCTCTTTTCCAAAATATATCTATAAATCTCCATTTTTGCAGGCCTGTCGGATCCCATGATTATTTGTGGTTTAGAGTTTGTAAAAGAAGTAGTTAAAATACCACTATGGTTTTTTTTGTTGTTATTTTTTCTACAGTAAAAATGGGAAGCAATAGAAAAGACAATACGGATTACGAGGTCAGGAGATCAAGACCATCCTGGCTAACCCAGTGAAGCCCCATCTCTACTAAAAATACAAAAACAAAATTAGCCAGGCATGGTTGCGCCCGCCTGTAGACCCAGCTACACGGGAGGCTGAGGCAGGAGAATGGCGTGAACCCAGGTGGCGGAGCTTGCAGTGAGCCAAGAAAGCGCCACTGCACTCCAGCCTGGGCAACAGAGCAAGACTCCATCTCAAAAAAAAAAAAAAAAAAAAAGAAAAAGAAAAGAAAAGAAAAAGAAAAAGAAAGGAAAACCAGTGGTAGGCTGGTATACTTAACATACTTGGCTATCACAGGAGCCAGGGGTGTGGTGGGGCGGGGGAGGAGAGAAAAAAGCCTGATTCATAGGGTTTGCCAATTTCCATAGTACAAATATTCCCTCCACGGTCAATTTCAAGCTACCAGTGTTTTCTCAATTAACATAGATTGTGAAAAAATTGTGCGAAAATTGGCTCTTGTGAATACTGTCTCTAGAACACTACTGGAAAACCATCTTAGTTACCCACAGAATAGAGCTAGCAATCTTTTGTTAAGGGTCAAGATTTTTTCTAAACCAGGTGGCAGATAGCAGGGTGGGTAGGTAGCTGGAAAATATGTATATAATAAAGTGTGCTGTGCTTCATTTGATTGTAAAACAATGAATATTGTAGGGCATAATATTACTATGATTATGATGAAGAAATATGTTGTAGTGTGCTAAAGAAAAACGAAAGGCTGAATAAAAACACGCCTCAGTGTTGAAAAAGTTTTATCATCTGGCCCAAAAAGTAGAATTTAGCAGACTGATGTTAGGTTTGCAGATAAATTGATCAGAATCAGCCATTAATTTACTGAGCCTAAACTTTCATTTTTTAAATTTTTTTTGGTTACAAACAATAATGTAAGGTAGCACAATTTTTATGCTATTATATATAGATGGATTTAACTGAAAGCGTTTGAGAAGATCTTGTGATCTACCCAGTTTTACCCTATACTGTGCTATGCTATTCTATATGTGTTTACTGTGAGTCTAATGATGTGTCCAAATTTTTCTATTCAGCATGGAGTATAAAACATAGGGCCGGGCGCGGTGGCTCACGCCTGTAATCCCAGCACTTTGGGAGGCCGAGGCGGGCGGATCACGAGGTCAGGAGATCGAGACCATCCCGGCTAAAACGGTGAAACCCCGTCTCTACTAAAAATACAAAATCAAAAATTAGCCGGGCGTGGTGGCGGGCGCCTGTAGTCCCAGCTACTTGGGAGGCTGAGGCAGGAGAATGGCGTGAACCCGGGAGGCAGAGCTTGCAGTGAGCCGAGATCCCGCCACTGCACTCCAGCCTGGGCGACAGAGCGAGACTCCATCTCAAAAAAAAAAAAAAACATAGATACTGTCACTTTCTTAAAAACTTACAATCTTAATTATTACATAATAATTACTCAGAGAAACAAATAATGTAGTTTTCATTTAAGTTTAAAATATCATGTCATATTTTATCTATTAAATGAAACTAAATCTTATTTCTCTTCTTCATGGTGACTGTACGCTCACCACTTGAGTCATAAATTGAAATACAAGGTTTTAAAATTTGAATATTTTCAAGTAATTTAAAAAATTATACATCCCTCTATTTACATTTTTTAACTAAGCCTTATATATCATAACATTTTGTCAGTTACATTTAGCATGAAAATTAGACTTTCACTAACTGAAAAACAAATATGGCTTGACCTTCATTTATATCTTTTGACAGATATCATGGCTTTTTACCATAAAGCTAAATTTAATAGGTAAAAGAGAAGGAAATAAGTGTAAAATCTGGGATAGTCATCATTTTGCTCTAACATTAGTTTCTCCTGCATGAACTCCTCAGGCTTAGCCCCTTTTCTTCCTGAAGATTTACAACATTTCATAACACTGTATGAATTACAAATCAAGATGTACTGTAGAGACGGCACTGTATTGATTTCCTAAAACTACAAGCATCAATCTCACTCACAACGACTTTCAGAAATAACCTGATTCTTTTCTTCTAGCCTGTTTAAATGTGAATGAACTCGTGTCATGACCTCTCTTTATAACTGTTTGTATATTTTTCCTCACAATACACCAGTGTTCTTTAATTTAACCTATCTCATCACAAAACACTGCATTATTGTAATATTTCTCTTTGCTGTCTTGAAAGTTCCTTTGGCTCACATATTTTGCCAAGAAGTGCAATAAATCTGTGTCAAGGGTGTCTAGCTATAATACACAAAGCTGACATAAAAATTACTTGTGAATTTTATTTTCATAACAACAAACTAATTTGCTATACTAAATGATGAAGACACAGGTGAACTAGGGCACTGGGTTCAGATCTTCACAGGACAATAGTTCCTAAAACATAATGCTTTCAATAGAAGAGGCCCATTAAGAAAGAAGTCAAGGCGAAAATTAAGGCATATATTTAAAAAAATATATCTGGGGAAGACCTCAGATAGTAACTGTATCAAAGCCACCATTTTTACATTGTAGATTTGGGAGGTTGCTCCTAAGACGAATAGTAAAGGTGGCCTTCAGCCACCCTAACCCAGACATTGTTCTCTGGACTGTATTGCCTCTCTCATACTCTCCTTGCAATGTATCAGTAGCTATACAGGACGAGACACCTTGAAGAAACCAAGGACTTCTTTACTCACTTCTAGAAATCATACGATTACAGAGTTAGCTGAGCCCACCTAGTACTTCTCAGATTGGAAAACAGAAATACAAGTGGGACTTTTTACTCTCCTGGGGTTACTTCTCTATTCCTTTTAGACTTAATAATGACCCCAAAAATGTTTAGTACTTTTAGAGAAAATGTTTTTAATTTGACCATCACATTGGTTTCTTGTTCTCACAAAAAAAAAAAAAAAAAAAAATGAGAGTATCAAGGATCACTGACTATCAAAGCATTCACAAAATAGATAAAATTCTACGTTTTGATTTGAATCTTCCTATTGGCTATTTATGGTACCGGAAATTACCTTGTGCACAACTTGGAAATTTTGGGTGTGACCTTAGGCCTGTTACTTAAACTTTCTAAACTCTATTTCTCATTCATAATATGTAGCCATAAAAAATAGCTACTTTACAGGGTTACTGTATATATTAAATGAGATAAAGTGTATAAAGCTATATAAAAAGTTCCAGGAACATATCTACTTTCATACATATCTCAGTGATTATGATAATAAAGATGGATATGCCAATACCTGAAATAAAGTATACATAATGAAATGGTCTTAATTCCCAGATTTATGGGGATCATGTTTGTCAACAAATTTCCATGATTGGGTTTCCTGTGACTATCTGTGTTAATATACACAGAGAGTTGAACTAGGCTAACTTTTAAAAGTGAAATTGTGAAACTAAATATTTATATCATTAGCCCTTCCTGCACCTTAATAATTATGTTGATAAATAAAAATATCAATAACTTTTTCTCTGAAATATTACTGCTAACTTATAAATCAATTATGTTTTGTTTTTGAGGGCAGAATTTGTCCCAGGGCAGGTAATACAACTCCTTTTCCCAAAGCTCTTAAACACATTAAACACAGAATGCAAAGGAGAAAACATGTCTCAAAAGCAGCCTACACCTAGTCAATTTTGTATGCTTCTTTCCCACCCCTTGAGAAACCTGGCCCTGACCCAGTGAAAAATTTAATGAAGCAACTCAAAATTGATAGTCAAATGAGACAAAAGACCAAACTTATGTTCACAACAGGAAACTAAAGTTTTGAAAAGGTTACCAGTAAATTATTTCACTCTCTATTGCTCTGAGTTTCTGAAAACATATTTATCGTACTCAATAGCAGCAGCCTCGGCCAGAAACTTGAAAGTTTCTTCAGGGATTTAGATTACCATGTGCAAACGTTTCAAGCCAGACCAATAACCTTGCATTCCTTCTCAAAGATCCAAATCATATCCCAAGAGACAGAGCAAACTATTTAGTTGAAAGGATAGTTGTGATTCCTAAAGAATGGACACAGTAATGAAGTTTTTTCTTCCCAGTATACATGTAATACTTCCTGCTCAAAGGGACACCCTCAAGGTTGTTAGGCTTAAAAATGGACTTGCCTTACACAGTGGTCTCTGTGATCTTGTGTCCTGATTTTAAGCAATGTGCTTTATTTTTAAAACTATTCTTGTCATAAAAGAGGAAAAGCAATGTATCCCAGTAGAAATTCTCAAATCAGGTCAACAGATACTCCTAAGCACTTATTAAATACATAGGGCTCTACCAAGAGCTATTACCTAGAGTGGGATGCTGTACTCACATAACTCCTTTTAATTCACCAAATTGCCCAACCTGGTGGAACAATCAAGAGTCATGATTTAATATACCTTTAATAAAATGTAAACTCTATCAAAGAAAACAGTCAATTTGCTAACAAACTTTTGTTTCTATTTTAAAGCATTTTTCACTTTTTTTTCCCTCATTTGCCCTTTCAATCATTTTCAGACGCTAACTCTTTTTTTGGCCAGTGTATTTAAAGCTCTACCTCTCTTTAAACCTATCATTTTCTAATTTTCTCCATGGAAGTTATACTCATATAAAATTATCTTATTTAATTATTTTGATCTTAACTTCGTTTCCTTTTTTGTATTTGCTTTTTTTTTCTTTTTTTTTCAATGTTTAAAACTCCATAAGCACCATGAAAACAGTTGGGCTTTTTTTCACTGCTGTATCTCAACATCCAGAAGAGTGTCTAGCAGATGCTGAATAACTACATATTTGCAATCCTCCTGAGATTACTTGGGTTCCATATACATGTCTACTAAATTCAGCTTCCCAAGATTATTTTCTGCCTTTTCCAGGATATACAGATGAATTCAAGATCTTAGAAGAAAAACAAAAGCTGTTTAATATTCTAATAAAACTGCAAAGTTTTATTCTAATGCATAAAACCAGTTCAAATAGGTTCTTGCAATTTATATTTGTGTTCACTGCCACAATAAATTTACAACTATAGGAAAAAAGAAGTAATAACAGCAAATCCCACAGTAAGGAGATTTTCTTTAAAAATGAAAACTTTTTTCAAATATGTCAAGCATGTTTACTGATATCTCTTAGAGAAAAAAATGCACTAAAGAAATAGTTGTAAAACATTATTTGGAGGACTAAAGTTTTGAATTTTGGTTGTGTGATGAAAAATATTTGTTGCATTTATAATTGATTTGCAGTAGAATCAGAGACAAACTGTAGTACCTTAGTTTTCTAGACCTTCTACCAATCTGATTTTATATTATTATCATTAATATATCAATAAACGTGTATTTAAAACCTATCCTGCCATCCACTCTGCTAAGGTTTGGAATTGCCAAGACAGTCCCTATCCTTGCACATAAAGATTAAACTACTTCCTAAAATAAATATGGTAACTTATGACAAAAGGTAAAAAAAAAAAATTGGAAACATATAAAGGGTAACAACTAACTCTGCTTTTTAAAGAGAGATGAATCATTTGTATGTTAAATTACTTGTAAACATTTATTGTGTCTACACCATGTATTAGACACTACGTTATCTGGTTAGATCTCAGTCTTAAAGAATATATATAGAAATTACAGGCTAGAAAGGAACTGGGAATTTACAGTATAGTTGTAGTAAGTCCTAATACACAGACATACAAGAGAGTACTTGAGAGGAACTCTTCACCCATATTGGAAAAACAGGAAAGCTTCTGAAAACGGTATGATTTCTAATCTGAGAGATGAAAAATGAGTTAGAATTATAAACTAATAATGAGATATGGGATGAGATGTGGTGGAAAAAGAATGCATTGTAGACAGAGGAAACAGTAATTTCAATTATATAGAAAAGAGAATTTAGCATGTTTTAGGAACATAAATAAGTTCAGCATACATGGAGCATGCCATATCATTGAGACATTGATGAGAAAGAAGTTGGGAAATGAGCAGAGGCTATATGATAAAGCACTATGAAAGTCATGTTAAGATGACTACTAAAGAGTGAATCTGAGTTTGGAAAGAGAGAATAGGTGAGAATGCATTGTGAAAACACACAGAACTATGAAAGCCTTATTTAGAAAAGAACAATAGGATAATGGACTGGAGTTTAGCGGCTGACGAACAAGCATGGAAAGGACAAGATATATAAGCACTAAGTCTTACCTACCACTTCAGGTCTAAAAGAACTGTCATATATGAACACCTTTATCATTTATTGTCAAATATTTATTACATTTTAAAATAATATAACCTTTCTTCCTATATTGTCCTTTATGTGAATCTTCTCTTTTATTATAATGTGTTGGCAGTCCTTAGAGACAGGGATTGCCTAATATTCGGCCATGACACCTAACGTATATTTATTGATTTTCTGATATAGTAGATGGTGAAAATCTAATACTGAAAATAGTATTCTTGAACTTCTCTGATAATTTTCAGTTGTTGGTATTTCTTAAAAGCAATAGACACAACCTAGGGAAAAGTAAAAAAAAAAAAATTATAAGCACTAGATACCTGTCCTTGTGACAAATACTCATTAAGAAATAAATATTAAGGATAGAGTTTTATTCCATTGCTGAATTTCCACTGATGTGCATGTAAATATAACTAAAATTTCCCATGCAGCTTGTCTATACATATTACACTATTGAATATTCAGAGATGGGCTAAAGTGAAGCAAGGAGTAACATGTAAACTATTTATTATCTGGTTAATTCCATCTTCTAACCGCATAGTAAATAGTGTCTCTATTTCATAAATTGTTTTACATATGGCACTGCATTTTTAAGGTGACTGCATTCACTATTTATACCTGTTTTACGTAAAATATATGAAGGATGGCTTTTAAAAATCACTTTTATTATCTCAAATTAATACAGATTATTACAAGATCAATTTGTCATACTTGTTGCTATTACTCATGGCAGAGGCCAAAATAATCTGAATTACAAGCTTCATTCCTTATCAGTGACCACATACAGACTTCATCTTTTTCTCATCTTAATTAAAACTATTTTCCCTTTCTCTTTTCAAATTTCTTAATGATATTCTAATCCAATTTACATAAAACATTTCTCATCTGTTAAAGATACCTCAGCCAACAGATGGTGCTATGTATAACATTTTTATGATAGTGTATAGTATTTAAAGATATATATTACTGAGCTGCAAGTTTAATTACATTGTTAGGATTATATATATATAAAATTTTCTGAAAATATATGTTTCATAAAGTGTGAAAGATGTGAGAAAAAATTGCAAAGTCACTGAAGAATGTTAAAGTTGAGTCAGAGGTCACAAGTTACTCAATTATGCATGCAAACTTGTCAGAGTTTGAGAAGGTTCATGTTTATAAAAATGTAGTTTAACATTGGATTTGATGTGGAGAGTCTGGAAGTGATCAACAGGCCTTCTCTGATGCCAACTCTCTGTTCTGAAAATATCTTTTTCTGAAATCTTATTTCTGCCTCCAATACACTGCGTCTCCAATCCATCCTAATGTGAGTACCACACTGATCTTTCAAGGCTGTCTGTTCACATTTAGCGATGGGGAACAATTAATGCTTTTTGAGCAGCAGAGTGCAAGAATTCAGAGTTTTGGTATCTTAGTCTGGGCTTCAATTCTTTAACTCCAACCTACTTTTCAAGCCTTTGGTTCATCAGTTCCCTGAGCTACTGTATAGCTCAGTCATATTGATCTTGCAAGATGCTGTGGATAACTCACTTTGTTGAGATTCTTCCTTATACAATCTGGATATGCAGCCAATAATCCACACCAGCGTTTTATGCAACTTTTTATTTGAAGGATTTCTGATCACAAAGGCCACAGGTATTTTTGTCCAATTATGAACTCTTCCAACTCTTAATATTACTGTATTTATTTTAATTTGACCTCACATTGCTTTTTGCTATATTATTCCTTAAAAGAAACAATTCAATTTATTCTGTTTCTGGGTTATTGAGTGAACTGGAAACTCAGTGGAAAGTACAGCTGGTAACATCAACACATGAAATTGATGGACTCTAATAACCATTTTCAGTTGGGTTTTGTCCTTTTAGCAGCCAACTGATATAGGTCTATCAATGGAGTAGCAGTCTTATCCTGAAAAAATGCAGAACATATTAATTTTATCTTTTTTCCCTGGATTGAGTGAAAAATTGTTACATTTGGTTCCATTACTCTTTTTTTTTTTTCCAAAATGTGCCAAGATGAGTTACTTATTGCTCTTGAGCAAGTGAGTATTTGTATTGGAAGGAGGAGGAAAAAAGGGGCCAGAAAATGCCAGGACCTATTTTTTCAAAAAGAAAGCACCAACTTTTGTTAAATGCTATACACAGCATTATATACCTGTTGAGAAAAAAAAAATATGTATCTAAAATGAATTCAAGTTGTAACATCCAGAGCATTTGAAAATGTCTGAATTCATACATTTTGAGCTTTTCAATAGTTATGCTAACCTTGATAATCACATTGTAAGCACTCCCATTGGGTTTATTTTTATAATTCATTTCTCTTTGTGGATATTACTTATTTGTTGAGTTATTATTGTCATACTTTCCTTTAAATCTTTAAATATTGTTGTCTTTAGCTCTTTGAAAATACCAATAATAGCTCATTTGCAGTTATTAGTAAATCTAATATCTGTGGACAATTAATGACAGTTTCTATTGACTGGTTTTGTTTTTAGTTTTGTTGAATGTCACACTTCTTTCCCTCTTTTTTTGCAGGTCTCTTAAAATTTTGTAGAATATTAGACATTTTTTATTATAGGTTTTAGTAACTTTGGATTCTGATTTTTTTATTGAGGATTGTCGTTGTGTTTTGTTTGTTTGCTTGCTTAGTAACTTCCCTGGATTAAATCTGTGAAGTCTCTTTTCCCTACAGTGTGAACTTGCAGTTTTTGTTTTTTGTTGCTGTTTTTATTTTTAATTATGGCTCCTCGGGGGTTTCTCCTGTGTCTGAATATCTTGGTGTTCAGCAAAACATCAATACCTAATTTATTGAGAGTTTTTAGCATGAAAGTTGTTGAATTTTGTCAAAGGCCTTTATTTCCTTCTCCTGCCTAATTGCCCTGGCCAGAACTTCCAACACTATGTTGAATGGGAGTGGTGAGAGAGGGCATCCCTGTCTTGTGCCAGTTTTCAAAGGGAATGCTTCCAGTTTTTGCCCATTCAGTATGATATTGGCTGTGTGTTTGTCATAGATAGCTCTTATTATTTTGAGATACGTCCCATCAATACCTAATTTATTGAGAGTTTTTAAACAAATGGAAGAACATTCCATGCTCATGGGTAGGTAGAATCAATATCGTGAAAATGGCCATACTGCCCAAGGTAATTTATAGATTCAATGCCATCCCCATCAAGCTACCAATGACTTTCTTCACAGAATTGGAAAAAACTACTTTAAAGTTCATATGGAACCAGAATCTACAAAGAACTTAAACAAATTTACAAGAGAAAATCAAACAACCCCATCAAAAAGTGGGCAAAGGATATGAACAGACACTTCTCAAAAGAAGACATTTATGCAGCCAACAGACACATGAAAAAATGCTCATCATCACTGGCCATCAGAGAAATGCAAATCAAAACCACAATGAGATACCATCTCACACCAGTTAGAATGGCAATCATTAAAAAGTCAGGAAACAACAGGTGCTGGAGAGGATGTGGAGAAATAGGAACACTTTTACACTGTTGGTGGGACTGTAAACTAGTTCAACCATTGTGGAAGTCAGTGTGGCGATTCCTCAGGGATCTAGAACTGGAAATACCATTTGACCCAGCCATCCCATTACTGGGTATATACCCAAAGGACTATAAATCATGCTGCTATAAAGACACATGCACACGTATGTTTATTGCGGCACTATTCACAATAGCAAAGACTTGGAACCAACCCAAATGTCCAACAATGATAGACTGGATTAATAAAATGTGGCACATATACACCATGGAATACTATGCAGCCATAAAAAATGATGAGTTCATGTCCTTTGTAGGGACATGGATGAAACTGGAAATCATCATTCTCAGTAAACTATCGCAAGGACAAAAAACCAAACACCGCATGTTCTCACTCATAGATGGGAATTGAACAATGAGATCACATGGACACAGGAAGGGGAACATCACACTCTGGGGACTGTTGTGGGGTGGGGGGATGGGGGAGGGATAGCATTAGGAGATATACCTAATGCTAAATGACGAGTTAATGGGTGCAGCACACCAGCATGGCACATGTATACATATGTAACTAACCTGCACACTGTGCACATGTACCCTAAAACTTAAAGTATAATAATAATGAAAATAAATAAATAAAAATAAAAACGTGCAAAAAAAAAAAGAATGTGAAAGACCAAAGAATATTTTTGCAAACTTCAATTTTAATTTTTTAAAATACTTTATAATGGATTGTGGCAAATAGTACATGTAGAATTCTGATTTACTTTAATTAAAATAGTTAAGTATTTTATGCATTGAAATTTATTATTGAAAATAATATATATTATTTTTATTCAATAATTTCAATAACATTCAATAATACATTATTGAAAATATATGTATATTAACAAATATTAATGTAATATATATTAATGTATACAGTGTATATGACACACAAATATGTATATATACACATAAATTAGTAGCTCACTACAGGGTTGACATGTGTCTTTCTTTTAAATGACATCAAATTATGATTTTAAAAATGAGAGAGATTTTATAACACAGCAAATGGTTTTGGCTGATATGTCAATGATAATCTTTCTGATTCAATATAAATCACCATTTACCCAATAGATTTTGGTTTTTCCTCAGGATTTTTATGAACATTTGCTCTGGAATAGGATTTTTACAGAAAATTATAATCCTGCTGGCTATCCAGCATATTAGAAGCATCTATTCTACTAATCTTAAATTTACCCTTTTTCACCAAATCAGATTTACATGCCAAACTTTACAAATACCTCTGTGAAAGTTTTCTTTTAACTTAAAATAGTAGCACTACACTGAGTTGTTTAAAAGTAAATGACTTGTGAATTTACTAACAAAGTGGACTTAATATTTTGTAAGTGCAATTATTTCTAATAAAGCTCCTTTTGCACTGAACTTGGCTCCCAGAGCCCTTTAGACAATTGGAAGCATTAAATCTACCATCAGAGGGCAAACAGCTAGAATCATTAAGGATATTCAAAAGCATATGCCAAGACACTAAAGGCAATTCAGTACAAATTTAGAAACCTTAGACATTGGTATTGTTTTGGTTCTGCAACACTCTTTCAGATACGTGCATATAATATATTTTTAATGAACCCATTTCTACGTTTTAAAGTCCTGTATTTAAGGTGTAAGAATTATCAGCATGAAATACCTGAGAAGTAAATGTGGATTGGAATATTTGATACTTGAGTCTATGATAATATGTGTCCAGGAAGAATTTTATAATATAGAGCAAGCGATGTACCATCTGTCTTTAAAAACAAAATTGTTCTTTTACATGTCAAAAGTAAATGGGGTATTAGGAAGTGATTATTATGCTGTTTTTCTGTTACTGTTATTTCTTTTCTAAAAGAGGAAAGAAGGTCTGGAAAAAAATGCCGATGCTAATGAATATTTGACAATTAAAAGTATACATAATATAGTGCCTGAAAATGAAGATACTTGCTACAACCACTTTACCATTAACAAACTATTGCTTTCATCACCCCAAAGCATCAACATAAAACTGAATATCAACAAAAAGTGGAGTAAAAGCTGTCCAAAGATTATTCTAATGCCCCAACTGTTAATTCATTGCTGCCATTTATTCTTCAGTAATTTGCTCTGCTGTGCATTTTTATCACTAGTATGAGTTTGAAATGAGCTTCAAAGTACAATTTAATAATCTATTAACTTAAAGTTTGAAATAAAAGTCATAGGATGAAATAAACTAATATAAAAAGATATTGCACCATAGCAAAAACTTTTAAAAGTCTTCACTTTTAGGGTTGTGCTTATAAGAATTTATTAGCAAATATTCTATACCATATGGTAACTTTGATTTATAAACTGCAGGTGTTTCATTCCATTTTTCCAATTATTTAATAAAAAATTTTTTACAGCAAGGATTTTCCCTTGTTCTCTCCCAGCACATTTTTACCTAACTGGCCATTACCTCATCTAGCCACTTTTGTTCAAATGAATTTTGAAACACCATCTGCAGAGATGTTCATTCAGTCCTGTTTAGAATTGGGGAGAGAGGCCTGAATAGAGGGCTTTCTTCAGTGTAGTGCTTCTATAAACTTATCCATTTGTGTGGATCTATATAAATACTCTTGAACAAAATGTCTAAGCAGAAGCCCTTTAGTACATTTCTTGGTCATTTTCTCATGGACTATTACAAGAGGAGCTTGTTGCCCAAGCATCCCTCTGCCCTCTCACCACGTTTCTCTCCTTGGTGCTGGCAAAGGCAAGCCTGCCTTGTTTTCTGGAGAGTGTGCTATCCTGTTTCTCTGATGTTAGACGGAAGTGGCACATGGTTAGCTGAGCTCAGTGAAAGAGACAGGAGAGTTTTTGCCAGCTGCTCTCTTGCTCCACACCAAAAGCCATAATTTTTTTATTGACATAACCATCACTTCAAGGGGGTGATTGGTCAGGAGCCAACTAGGGACAGTAGATGGAAGAGGTTTTTACACTGCAACTTTGAAGCTACTCATGGAATTATAGCTTGCCACAATCTGGAAATGGCCCAAACCAGAAGGAATATCTGGACACATATTGCCAGTACACACAATCTCACAGAGCCTTGAGGGGTGGAGGAGAATACCACTATGCCTTTTAGACAAGAAGTTGGCCAGATCCCTGTAAAGCTCTATTAAGGGATACTCTTTTTAGAGTTAGAAGTTGGATTCAAAACATGTATTGGGAGTGAAAGCAAGCTCTTATCTCTTCTGTGTACAGAAGATTAGACCAAACAGACCCAATATTCTCGACGTACAAAAGCAATATCTGAGGCTGGGCCACATTAGGGTGGCTTATTGAGGAAAGAGTATAGGGTGTTAATGATATCAATTACATACAAAGACGTCAGTGAGAGTTGTGAATTTTTACCTTAACATGATATTAAAATGGTGACAGGTAACATTTATTGAGCACTAAATATGTGTCAGCCATTATGTTAACAGCTTATGGTGTTACTTAAGAAAATGCCTATGGCCAGATGTTGGCACTTTCATCTGGTTCTGCACAATTTATTATTTTATTTAATGTTCACAATAATTTTGTGAGTAAATATCACACCAATCTTACATATAAAGAAATGAGTATTTGCTAACTTATGTTGAACAGACATTGTTTTAAGCACTTGATAAGAATTAAGTCATTTAATTATCTCAATGACCCAATAAGGTAGATGATCTCCAGTCAAAATCTAAATTCAGATGAGGAAGCAGAAGCACAGAGAAGTAAAGTACATTGTCTAAGTTTGCATGGGTAATAAGGGAATAAAGGTAGAATTTGAACCCAGGCAATAGAATTCCAGAGTTAATACATTCAGATGCAGAAAGATCAGCTGACTTTTATAGCATCATACAGTTGGGAAGGTACATAGCCAGAGTTCAGCCCAGATCTTTCTGATTTTAGATTATACTTTTTTTTGGTTTTGTTTTGTTTTGTTTGAGATGGAGTCTCACTCTGTCACCCAGGCTGGAGTGCAGTGGCGCGATCTCGGCTCACTGCAAGCTCTACCTCCAGGGTTCACGCCATTCTCCTGCCTCAGCCTCCCAAGTAGCTGGGACTACAGGTGCCTGACACCACGCCCGGATAATTTTTTTTTTGGTACTTTTAGTAGAGACGGGGTTTCACCATGTTAGTCAGGATGGTCGCCATCTCCTGACCTTGTGATCCGCCCACCTTGGCCTCCCAAAGTGCTGGGATTACAGGCCTGAGCCACCACACCCAACCCACAGATTATACTCTTAACCACATGATTCTACGCTGTGGTTGAGAATTTAACAAAGTTGGCTAATGCTTGGCAGGCATTTGATAACAGGGATGAATAATTTGGATTCCATTTCATGAGAGAAACTAACATTTGTAGAATGTTTATTACATAATAGACACTGGGATAGCAATTAACATAACTTATCTATTTCCATCTTCCTGAATGGAATTATTATCCCAGTTTTAAAGACAAAAAAATACATTCAGATAAGTTAAGTAACTTGTTCATATTTGCAAAATAGGTGTTCAAGCCCAAGTCTGTCTCATTCTAGTGTTTTGATGCGGTGGTAAGAGCAGGAGCTTGAACAGCTGTTGAAATACTGAATCTGAAATTGGGCTGATAGAGCTTGCTTAGAGCTGCAGTGGAGGCTAAGAAGATCATCAGGAGTCTGCACTTGCCTGGGGAGTTAGACACTTTGGTATCTTGCAAGATGGACCAAGGAGTGAACCAAAGCTTACTCATCATGTCAAGCTGTGCAAAGGTCAGAGTCAACCTTTTAAAGCCTCTGGTGCCTTCTCTGCTGGAGGAATCTTTGTCTTGTCATACCAGGATCAAAAGTTGGTCTCCATAGGCTTTTTTACACAGATTGTTATCAAAAAAGTAAACAATCTAAAGTCACAAACACTGCTCTGGAGGAGGGAAGAAAGATAAGAGACTTGACTGCCCTTGCTTATTGCAAGCAAGACAGGTTGGGCTACAGCTGGTGGATGGGAAACTCATTATGGTCACTTGAAGCCTTGCCAAGTACAGTGGGTAACCTGAGAGCCCAGCAAGGAGTCTCTTGGCCCAGTAGTCAATCAATCTGCTGTCAGGTTGAAGCAGACAGTGTAAACCAAAGCAAGGCAGCAGATTAGGCCTCAGTAGTGCACATGGTCAGCTAAGTGGGAAAACAGGACTGGATCATGATCAGCAGTGAAGGTAAAAGCAGCTCAGAATAGAAAGATTTTTTTGTTTCCCTAAAGTGAAAAGAGGGTTTGACAAATGACTGCTGAGAGAAGCGTGGCTCTATTATTATTAATATTAGTCAGGACCTTGCCAATAAACAGAATTTCGATCAGGTGAATTAGCTGAAGATATTTTAATGAAGGGACAGCATACAGTAGTGAGGTCAGGTTTCTGAAAACCCAAAGAATACTGTGGAGGTATCCAAAATTTAGTAACAGCCTAAAAGGGAAAGGGGAGAATATTAAGCTGCTAGAGACCAGTGATAGCTCAGGGGAGCTGTGATTACAGAGGGATGCAGCCACTTTCATAGCTGTGATGCTGAAACTGGGAAAGAGTGGAGAAAATATTCCCCAAACTGTTTTTCCTCCTGCCCTCTGATTTCTTGCCAATGGCTCCCATTGGTGAGAACAACCTGAAGCCACAGTGGAAAGGGAGCCCAAGAGATGCCATCTGTGCACATCAGCTGCTCAGGGCACACAGCAGAATAGAGGTGGGCAAATGATGTTTCCAATTAGGCAAACACATTAACCATCTACCTTGGGAAGGGGTCCCAGTCTTTAGAATTGTGGTCTCACGTGCAACTATCTGCAGGGGACAGACAAGTATGCAAATAGAAAGAGGGAGCAACATGAGTGAATGGCAGACTGTTGAATATGCCCCCATCTAAAAGGGCATGAACACCACACATGTAACTTCCTTCCAGCTTTGAGGTAATGTGAATCATCACGTCTAGAAGATCCATTTTAAGAAGTCAAGCAAATCAGCTACTTGGGAGGCTGAGGTGGAAGGATCATTAGAGCCCAGGAGTTTCAGTTTTGCAGTGATCTATAATCCAGATAGCTATGTGACATCACCTTAATTTTAGAGATTAAAACTTAATTGGCAAAACAATTGGATTTCATAATGGTTAAACAAACCACATCTATGAGAGATTCATCTCATTTTTGGAAGTGAAGCACAACATTCAGGTTATTATATGAATTCTACTGATTTTTAAATATTGGCAATTTACTGACAAAAAAAATCCTGCAACAACCAAACAAAACACATCTGTGAGAGGTATTCATTCCCCAACCACCAGGCTAAGTGTATTGGATAACTCTTGCTTTTCAACTTACATCTTCTACACCCAGCAATATTCTGGATGTTGCTCAGGAAATCAGCCCCTCTGAGGGGAACCTGATGTATTTTTGTTCAGCAGCACTGAGTAGATTTCACTTTTCCATCCAGGGCTTTTCTGACCCCTCAGCATGCTACACTTAAATCAGTCACCCAGTGTTAGAGTCTGGGTAGTTGGAAATGCAAGTGGAGCACACATTGACCATTGCGGTACCTAAGCTAGTTGATAATCACTCTCCTTTTTGTGTCATTGGTGGAATGATCTCAAAGCTCACATACATGGATCATCTACAGTCACCCACAGTGGTGGACAAAGGCTGAGAACACATCCTTATATTGGTTTTCTCTCCCTTGATTTAATTTTCCTGAGTTCTACACTTCTGTAAAGAAATTTAAAAAAAAAAACCCTTCCTTGGGCTCTATTTTCAGAAGAGATTCCTCCCAAGGTTCTATCATTTTGCAAATTCTGCTTTAGGAAAATATTTAAAAGGCCTCTCTAATTTTTCTGAGGGACATTTTATGTTCACAGAATACTGAATATTTATGGTAGAAGATCCCAACCAACTCTGATTTTTTTTTCTTTTTTTTTTTGAGACGGAGTTTCACTCTTGTTGCCCAGGCTGGAGTGCAATGGCGCCATCTCAGCTCACTGCAATCTCCGCCTCCCAGGTTCAAGCAATTCTCCTGCCTCAGCCTCCGGAGCAGCTGGGATTACAGGCATGTGCCACCATGCCTGGCTAATTTTTTGTATTTTTAGTAGAGACAAGGTTTCTCCATGTTGGTCAGGCTGGTCTCAAACTCCCGACCTCAGGTGATCCACCCATCTCGGCCTCCCAAAGTGCTGGGATTACAGGCCAACACTGATTTTTAAATATTTAAATGAATACACTTAAGCTGGGAGAGAGGGCAGGAGAAAACATTATACATTTGTGGCCAGGGATTGCCCCAAGTTAGAAAATACTCTCTGTGAATAAACATGAATTTTTGGTTACATGTTGACACCTAACCCCTTAGAAAATCAATAGAAAGTGATCTTTAAATATTTAGTTTTTAAATGTATTTATGTGTTGATTCTTAAAGTGGTTTTGAACTTTTCTAGAGAAAGCAGCATACATATACATATTAATATCCCTCATAATAACATATAACATATATAAGGTTACTATGTAGAATCTGGCAAATATGCATGTAAGCCAAGAAAATAAGACACAATGTCAAGTGATTTATATTTATAAGCCATATATTAATTAATCAAATCAATTCATCTAATTACTCATCTAGTCAATACATATTTACTATGTGTTTTGTATATGCCAGGCACTATGTATACTCCCAGGTTACCAGAAGTGATTTATATTTATAAACCATATATTGACCAATTTATCAAATCAATTCATGGAGTTACTCCTATATTTAATGTGTATTTATTATGTGTTTTGCATATGCCAGGCACTGTGTACACCCTCAGGTTACCACAGTGAAGCCAAAACTTCCATCCCTGGTCTCCAAAGTTCACAGGCTACTTGGTAGGAAAATAAATTAAACATGTACAAATAGTACATTAATAAATAAATAAGCTTGTCATGGAAGTACAAAGCATTCTGGGATTGCATCAGATGTACTCCTAACCCCAAATTTAGGGGATGAAGAAGAAAATTAATTTTCAGCTGAGATCATAAGGACCAGTCAGAGTTAGCTGACTGAGGTGTAAAAGAAGAGAAACACTATTTCTAGCAGAAGAAACAAAGGGGCTATGAGAGAGCATTCTGGAATGAAAGGATTATGGGGGAGAGTGATGCAGGGTTTTCACAGGACAGGCAGGAAGCAGGTCATGACGGCCATATAATGAATGTTAAAGAAATGGCATCTGACTTTGAGGTGGGAAGGAGCAGGAATCCCCAGGTCCTCTGAGCTGTCTGCATGGGAGGCCATGGCAAAACACAGCATCCACGGTTGGCCCTCTGCAGAGACAGGCAGGGGCTAGCTACTGGAAACCAGAGCACACAGACAGTATAATGAACTGGGGAGATAGAATAGTTGAGAGTGGGTGGTTACACCATAACAATACAAAGGAACCCAAAGGTATCTGGATGAAATAGAGATTATTTACATCACTGGCACTCACCAAGTACAAATATGTTAGTCATTATAGCTCTACCTATCAATAAACTAAAATTATTTTGCAATGACTTATAAACAATGTCATCTAATGATTTACAGTTATTTAAAAATATTCAAAAATAATGAAAGTTCTTCCTTCCATAGAACAAACGTGGAATTCCCACGGTAAGATAGTCCATATTTACTCAAAGTTGAAAGTTTAGACCAACCACCACGGGAATCTCTATCTTCATATTTCAGGCCTTCTTAAAAGACAATATGAATCAGTTCCCTCCAGATTTCATTGTCTCCCTCATCTTCTCTGCCTCCATAGCAAAGATCTTTCCTGAACTATAACTGTGGGATACCTAAACACACAGACAAACAAGCTGCTAACCAACCAGTTAAATTTATTGAGCAGCCTGCTTGCACCAGTGCATAGTAGGGCCTGTGACAACACATGGAAGGAAGACATGCACCTGCAAGACTCTCCCCATCTTTCAAAGCTGCCATACTCTCTTTCCATCTCCCCATCAGCTTTTCACTTCCATTTACAGTGTGCCCTAGAGTCATTCATTATTAGCTCCAGTGCTGCCCTTTTATATTGTAGGCTCAGGGGAAAAAGGGTGCCTAGGGTGCAAACATTAGGAAGCCTTTACTCTCAGGTCCATGTCTGTGCTAACTCTGTCTTTGCACAGGCCTCGGAGTGAGTGTCTGAACCCTGCACTCTGGGTATCTCATTCCCCTATCCCTGGGCAGAGTGCCAGCTCTGCTTAGACACATTCAAGAAATATTACAAAAAAAAAAACAGCACTGTCTCCATTTTGGCCAGAAAGAGTTGATCCTTCCTTGCATTCCTTTGCACATCCAACGATGTATTTCGGATTATCAAAACATTCAAATTCAAATCTATAAACTCCAAAGATAAAACAACATAGAGTACAATCACGGCGTCATGGACACTGCAGAAATGCTGTAGAATTCACACCCAGTCATGATACAGGCACACATGTAAAGAGCAGGAGGACTCAGTTCTTTGCCTTCCTGTGATGTTACACCATGAATTGGGACACCTTAGAAGGTCTTTAGAAAATTACTCAGCTCTGTTTGTGCCATTCCTTTCTTCATTCATGTAACAAAAGTGTTTTTAGCCCTTACCACATGCTAAGCACTGTACCTTGTGCTGCGGACACAGAGATGAATGAGATACAGTGTGGATCTCATTTCCAACAAATTTCATCCATTCTCCGGTCACTGTAGAGATAACAGACTGCTGTGACAGAGGGTTCATAAAGGAGAGGAAAAGGCTCTTTCCCTAATACATTCCATGTTTTAACTGACCTTTTGGCATCCAACTCTGAGAACTGAACTGACTAAAGCGCAATTTTCAGGTGGCACATTGAAAACGAGACATGACATGTATAGTTTGAATGCAAAAGTACTGATAACCGCTTGCCAAGTTTTAATAATGACTAGTAGCAGCAACAATTAAATCAGTTCCAGGGGAACTTGTAGACAGCATAATAAACTTTTCTTGAAAGAATTGAAAGAATTCTTCCACTTGTACATGGGCATTCCCTGGCTTCAGTGTGATCATTAAATTTCAAGTAATTTAAATGCAAAATGTCAAAATGGCCAAACTTCGTGGTTAGGAGCAGAAACTCTGGAAGCAGACTGAAGATGCTGCTCAGCTTGACCACCTGCTGCTTACTGCACCTGGAACACGTTACTTAACCCTCTACCTCTCAGTTTCCTCATCTGTAAAATGGCTAAAGTAATAATAATTACTCTTTCATAGGGTTCTTATGAGTAGGAAATAGTTAAGAATGGTAAAGTTCTTAAATCAGTGCCTAGAAACGTGTAGCACTAAATAAAATTTCTTGACATATTTAGTACTGCTTGGAAAATATAAATAATATATTCTTCAATTTTCTTGTAGAATTATATTTACTCGAGTAGATATAAAGTTTTTTATATAAAGATATACAAAGTTAGTTAAAATGAACTAAGTATAAAATGCTTTAAAACATGTTTTATTGTGGTTTTATATAATGTAAAATGCCAATTAAAAAAATTTTAAGCATACAATTTGGTGGTATTAATTACATTCACAGTGTTATTCAACCACCACCACTATCTATTTCCAAAATGTTTTCATCACCTGTAACAGAAACTCTGTAACCATTAAGCAATTATTCCTTGTTCCCCACCTCCTCCCTAAACCTGGTAACCTCTAACTTACTTTCTGTCTTTAGTTCTACCTACTCTAGATATTTCATTTAAGTGGGATCACACAATATTGTCCTATTGTGCCCAGCTTATTTCACTTAACATAATGACTTCAAGATCCACCTATATCGTAGCATGTATCAGAACTTCAATCCTTTTTATGGTTGAATAATATTTCATTGTATGTGTATACATACTACATTTTGTTTATGCGTTAATCTGTTGATAGACACTGGGCTATTTTCACCTTTTGACTATTGTGAATAATTCTGCAAAAACATTAGTATAAAAGTGTCTGTTTGAGTCCCTGTTTTCAATTACAGTGGGCATTACACCTGGTAGTGGAATTGCTGTGTCACATGGTCATTCTGTTTAGCTTTGTCTTAGTTCTGACTACTGTAACAAAAATACCATAAACTGGATGGCCTAAAAAACAAACATTTATTTCTTACAGTTCTAGAGTCTGTGAAGTCCAAGATCAAGGCTCTGGTAGATTAGGTACCTGGTGAGACACCACTTCCTGATTTGTAGATTGCTGTCTTTGCACTGTGCCCTCACATGGTAAGGGGCTTCCCTGGGGTCTCTTTGATAAGGGCACTAATCCCATTAATGAGGGCTTTACCCTCCTAGCCTAATGACCTCCCAAAGGCCCTACCTCCAAATACCATCACAGTGAGTGTGAACTTGGCAGTGGACGTGGGTAGACACATCAAGTCCATAACAAGCTTTTTGAAGACCACACACTGTTTGTCCCAGTGGCTGTGCCATTTTACCTTCCTATCAGCCATTTCTCCATATCCTCACCAACATTTGTTATTTTTCTGATTATTAGTATTCTTATTATTGTTTTGTTTTGTTTTGAGAAGGAGTCTTGCTGTGTTGCCCAGGCTGGAGTGCAACGGTGCGATCTCAGCTCACTCCAATCTCTGCCTCCTGAGTTCAAGCAATTCTCCTGCCTCAGCCTCCCGAGTAGCTGGGAGGCCTACCACCACGCCCGGCTAATTTTGGTATTTTTAGTAGAGACAAGGTTTCACCATGTTGGTAGGCTGGTCTGGAACTCCTGACCTCAGGTGATCCACCTGCCTTGGCCTCCCAAAGTGCTGGGATTACAGGCATGAGCTACCGCACCCAGCCTATTATTATTATTATTACTATATTAATAGGTTTGAACTGGTATTTCATTGTGGTTTTGATTTGTATTTACCTTATGATTAATGATTTTGAATATGTTTTCATGTGCTTGTTGGCTATTTGTATATTTTCTAGAGAAATATCTATTCAAGTCCTCTGCCAACTTTTTAACTGGGTTGTTTGTCTTTTTGTTGCTGAGTTGTAGGAATTCTTTATATATTATGGATCCTGTTCCCCCACCAAACATATGATTTGCAAATATCTTCTCCCATTCTTCCAGAGAGCCTTTCAATTTCTTGATAATGTCCTTTGATGCACTAAAGTTTTTAATATTTGTGAAGCCCATTTTTTTTTTTACTTTTTCTTTTGTTGCCAAGGTCATTAAAATTTATCCCTATAGTTTATTCTAATGATTTTATGATTTTAGTTTGAATTAAATATAGTAAATTGTTTTTAAATTAAAACATATTATACTCTATTACTAGTAAGCTTTTCACCCAGAACTATCTGTGTCGTAACTCTCAGCTCTCATGATCTGGCACAGGGATCCTGTATGTAGCTGCAGCTTCCATCTTGACCTTTGATTACTTTTTCAGCTCTCTGACAGACTCATACAGACATAGTTGATCAGCTTTTGATGAAACAAGGCTACAACAAAGAATTAGTGCTTCTGATATCAAATGTTAATGATAAGCAGACTTCAATCATAAAGATGCATTTGAGAAAAATTTAAATCTTTGATTTAAAAAACAAAAAAAAGGCTATAATTCCATAGTATTTATAATTCAATATAGAAATTTTCAAAGTCATGCAAAACCTTAATAATTTAGTATTTCCCTTTGTTAACAAAGCCTTTAGTTACCAGTAAATGTATGCTAGAGGTCTATTTAAATAAACATTTATTTAATGAATTTTAAAATATCTTGGTGTTAAAATAATCATCAGTACAAGCATATCTCAGATATATTTAGCTCCAGATCAGCACAATAAAACAAATATTGCAATAAAGTAAGTCACACAAATTTTTTGGTTTCCCCAGTGTATATAAAAGTCATGTTTACACTTTACTGTATTCTGAATGTGCAAAAACTTGTCTAAAACAACAATGTATATAGTTTAATTTAAAAATGCTTTATTGCTAAAAAAATGCTAAAATCATCTGAGCCTTCATTGAGTTGGGATCTTTTTGCTGGTGTACAGTCTCGTCTCAATGTTGATGACTACTGATCAGTATGGTGGTTGCTGAAGGTTGAACTGGCTGTTGCAATTTCTGAAAACAAGACAACAATGAAGTTTGCTATATCAATTGACTTTTCCTTTCACAAAATATTTTTCTGTAAGTTGTAATACTGGTTTATGCCATTTTACCCACACAATTTCATTTTTCAAAATGGGAGTCACTCTTATCAAACTGCCACTGCTTTATCAACTAAGTTTGCATAATATTTTAAATCCTTTGTCTTTATTCCAACAATGTTCACAACATATCCACTGAGTGTATTCCAACTCAAGAAACCACTTTCTTTGCTCATCTCTAAGAAGCAACTCCTCATCATTCAAGTTTTACTCTAAGATTGCAGCTATTCAGCCTCTTCTTTAGGCTCTACTTATAATTATCGTTGTCTTACTATTTCCACCACATACAGTTACTTCCTCCACTGATGTACTGAATTCCACAAATGCATCTATGAGGCTTCGAATCTACTTCTTCCAAATCTCTATTAGTGTTGATATTTTGACCTCCTCTCATGAATCATGAATGTTCTTAGTGGTATGTAGAAGAATGAATCCTTTCGAGAAGGTTTTTTGATTTACTTTGCCTAGATCCATCAACTGTAGTCTTACGAAATATATTTCTTAAATAATAAGACTTGAAAGTGAAATTTATTCCTTGACCCAAGGGCTGCAGAATGAAAGATGCCTTAGCAGGCATGAAAGTAATATTAACTACCTTGTACATCTCCATCAGTCTTGGGTGAGGATGTGCATTGTCAATGGGCAGTAATATTTTAAAAGAAATCTTTCTTTTCCTGAGTAGTAAGTCTCAACAGTGGGCTTAAAATATTTCAGTAAACCATGCTGTAAACAAATATGGTGTGACTCAGGCTTTATTGTTCCACTTATAGAACACAGGCAGAGTAGATTTAGCCTAATTCTTAGCAGCCCTAACATCATCAGAATGGTAAATGACCACTGGCTTCAACTTAAAGTCACCAGCTGCATTTGTTCCTAACAAGAGTCAGTCTGTCCTTTAAAGCTTTGATGCCAGGCATTCACTTCTCTCTCACTATCAAAGTCCTAGGTGGCATCTTCTTCCAATGGAAGAATGTTTCATCTACATTGACAATCTGTTTTTTAGTGTAGCCACCTTCATCAGTTATCTTAGCTAGATCTTCTGGATAACTTGTAGCCACTGTATCAGCAGCTGCTACTTCACTTTGCACTTTTATGTTATGGAGATGGCTTCTTTTCTTAACCCTCATGAAGCAACCTGTGCTAGCTTCAAACTTTTTTCTGCAGCTTCATCACCTCTCTCAGCCTTCACAGAATTCAAGAGAATTAGGATCTTGCTCTGGATTAGGCTTTGGCTTGAAGACATTTTGTGACTGGTTTGATCTTCTATTTGGACTACTCAAATTTTGTCCCATTTCAGCAGTACGGCTGCTTTGCATTCTTATGATTAATGTTTTCACTAGAGTAGCACTTTTAACCTACTTCACAAATTTTTCCTTTGCATCACAACTTGGTTAAATGGCACAAGAAGCCCAGCTTTCAGCCTGTCCTGACTTACGACATGACTTCCCCACTAAGCTTAATCATTTCTAGCTTTTGATTAAAATTAAAGATGTGCAACTCTTTCTTTCAGTTGAAGACTTTGAGGTTGTTGTGGTGTTATTAATTGTCCCAATTTCAATATTGCTATGTTTCAGGAAATAAAGAGCCTCTCCTTCAAGGAGAAGGGGCAAGATGGGAAAATAGCAAGTCAATGGAGCAGTCAGAACACACAAAACGTATTAAGTTTGCCATCTTATGCAGATGCAGTTTATGGCGTACAGAAGCAATTACAACAGTAACGTGAAAGATCATGGATTACAGATCACCATAACAGATATAATAATAATACTAATAATGTTTCAACTATTGCAATAATTAACAAATGTGATGCAGAGACAAAAGAGGGCATATGCTGTTGGAAAATGGCACCAATAGACATGCTGGATACAGATTGCTACAAACCTTCAATTTGTAAAAACATAGACTCTAGAAGGTACAATCAACTGAAGCACAATAAAGTGAGATATGCCTATAAGGCTGTTAGGAATTAAAATATTTCACAAAATCAGGTACAATTGCATTAGAAAAAATATTTTAATTTATCCAACTTAAAGCAAGATATAACATAACTATATTCTAAGTGCTATCAGTTTAATTATCAAAATGAGTAATGTGCATAAAATGAGCTATTGGAGTTTGTCTCATAATATTTCCTTGGTGATTGTATTGAAGGTCTTAAAATTACACAATGACTTTTAATTTTGAATAGCATTTGGCTTATTACTTAGCTCTTTATAAGCATTTGGAGGATAAGACCATCAAGAGCATATGTTTTTATACCCGAATTTCACAGTATAATTCCTTTCACACACTAGGCATTCAAGAAGCATTTGTTGAACAAAATATATTGCCATAGTATAGTTGGCAGTTAATAAATATTTGATGACTGAATTAAAAAGCATATTAAAACAAAGGATACACTGTAGGAAACAAAAGTAACAACCAATTAAATAGCTCAGGAAACAAGGATAAAATGACACTAATTTCATTGAGATTTTAATATATGTTAGTGGTCTGTGCATTAATGTAAAGTTATTTTCTATATATTACGTAGAGAAATGAAGATAATTTTTTCAGAACAATAATAAGGTAACCACAAAAAAAGTGATGCAACTTAGGTAAAACTCATCGAAGACATGTACTAACTTTATTACATGGTATCTTGTATTTACTGTATAGTTTGCTTAAATTCCTAAGATAGAATGGTAATCTGGGTGAGGAAAAAATAAAAGCTTTGTAGAACTGTCATTATAACTTCCACCTCAGAGAATGAACTTTGGAATCATACAGAGTTAGTCCAATGAAAGTGAAACAGGAAAAGTTCAAAGGTCAAAGACTGGAACTGATGGTGAGTCTTAAAAGATACTGCCTCTTTCCTCTACAGGATTATTTTTTGAAAGTGTAGTTTACCTATACTATGAAGATTTATACTTATTTCGTAATTCTCCACAATAGCACTATCTTTTGTCAGATAAACAAGTAAATCTGTGACTGGAATTAGAATAAAAATGAGACAATGGACAAAATATTTTAGTTTAACCAGTTATTTCAACAAAACATCAATCCCTTCAATGTAGTAAATGGTTTCACTTAATTCTATTATTATCTTTTTAATAAAAGGTTAATCTTTTTTTTATTTAACAGATATTATGGGATGTATGTTCTTGAGCTTATATAGAAAACCCTGGGACAAGAAAGTAGTCCACTACTTTGGCATGTAAGGGAAAGAGAAAAAACATCTCTTTGAGTTGATTTTATTTTTCTGTAAGACAGAATCTCTTATCATATTAAGTCTATCAACCTTATCCCTTCTTTAAGAAATACGTATCTTTTAAAAATGACAAAAGCTGTCTCTTCAACACCTTTAAAAGGCTTAACTATGTTTGAAGCAGTGTCCCCAGTTACTATTATGAAAATGGAGAGGAAGTTTCAGATTGTAATGGGAATTTTTATTGAACTACATCCTTCCTGAACTGGTAAAATACATTAAAAAATGAAAATAAGGAATAACACTGCCAGTTATTCAACACTTTAGAGACGTATTTTTTAAATATCCATAAAAGTCTATATGGTTCAGAAACTATTCTCATTTTAACAATATTATGCCTCTGTAGACCTCATAATAGGAATAATTATTTGCAATGAAAGCTCACTTTGTATAGTACGGAACAATTAGATTTTTAAAATATTCTGTCTTAATGTCACTTTTGCCTTGCCCCAGTGAGTGACTGGGATTACATTGTACATACAGTGCATACTTGAATAATGAAATTTCCCATCAGTTTTCTTTAAACTCTTGGCATGAACTGCAAATACAAAATAATTGTGTGCATGGCAAGTGATCTTTAAAATCATTTTCCAAGACTGTTCCGCTTTCAGCAGAACCTTTTCACTTTTGATTAATACTCTTTCCTGCTTTCTGGTTCAGAACATTGCTTCCTAGAGTTACAAATTCAGTTTATGGAGTGCCTTTGACCTGCACTCCACTGGGTAAAAATAAGTGTTAATCCAATGAAATCTGAGTTTCTGTTTCTTCAGCATCTTCAGGTTATCATGCACAATGCAGGGGTGCTGTAAAGTTACATTTGTATGTGCATGCACAAAGTGCCAATAAAGAGAGTTAAAAATAACATTTTATAAATCTTATTGTGTTTCCTCTAATCCAGCCCATAGGATACTTTGGGATAAAATCCACATAATGACGAGAGCTCAAGGGTTCACCCCAAGCTCTTCATAAAATAAAACTAACAGCAAATTCATTCTAATGGCCTGTAGATTTATGTTCATTTATGTAACCCTTTATGGTTATTACTTAGATTTTAATAACATCAAAAACAGTCTTTATCTTTTCTCCTTCACTCTCCTTAATATTTCCTTGCCATATTCTATACTGGTGTTAAAAGAAACAATTAGAACCAAAAGTTTCCAGTTTATGAGTGATAGTCATCCATACTGAGAAACACACCACTTTCATAGTCACAGAACACATGTGACAAAATGAGAAGTTAGAAAATGGAATCAAGTTTTTTATTTCTTCAAACCCACTACTTGTATTCAGTTCTGCAACTCCTTCCTCATACATATGCCATGACTCCCTGCCGCCCATGCACAACCCTGCACACTGTACCCATGCACAACCCTGCACACTGTACAAAATTATTTATCAGAGCTGAGTTAAGAAAAGTACTTGGAAAGACAGGAGTGGATGAGCTGTGGGAAATACTGTAGGAGAGTTTTCAAAACTTAAAATGCATGGTATGAATTTAAATTGTTCAGAAATATAAAATAATGTCATATTTTTCCTATTTCTGATAAGCCATAAATAGAGCAATATTTTTCAATACCTTGAAGGGTCTCAACAACCTTGTTAAAAGTGGAAGAGCTATCAAAAATTAATGGTGACAATAAAACTTATTGATAAGAACAGGGACTTGAGTCCTTGGTTTTTATGTTGATTCCTCAAGTGACTGGCTCCATGTCCTGGGAGAAGTCTCTCAAAAAATTTCCAAGTTATAATTACCCCCCTTAATTCCAATATGCAGAAACTGAAACAGAAAGTTTAAGTCCAAGTTAGCATGAGACGTAGCCAAGAATTGAATTTGGGTATATCTGAATACATAATTCATGCTGTTTTAAATTATTGTGCCATGACTATCTCTCCAATATTTTACAAAATATTCTTCCCACATATAAAGTCCTTAGTTTAGAGTCCCATGCTTGTCAAATTCTCAGTAAATGTTGTCTATTAAGGCTATGTTCAATGAAATTGGTTGGGCAAGGCAGTTTGGTTTCAGATGTGGAACAGCAGGAGATGGGGAGAAGGAAAGGTTGGCATTGGTTAATGTGAACAGACTTCCTTGTGCAAAATTCAAAAGATTAATTAGCCTGATGTAATGATTTTTGAAAACTCTTGGCCAAGCTGTCATAAATATGTCCAAGTATGTAGCTTCTCTGTATGTTTACGTAATTCCACCCGAAAGACAAGCAATTATTATTCATGTACATAGACTGTATTTAGGTGCAAATGAGGTTTCCACGATTTAGCAAGTGTCCAAGGTAATCACTGTTTTGGTGAATACAGGCCTGGGAGGCAGAGTCTTGGCAGCTGCAGCTGAAGTGAAGGAGAGAATTTCAATCTCTCACAGCTGACTTGTCCCAGCAGGGGCTGGGCCCACGACAATAAAAAGAAATGCACAACATACTTTATGGACAAGGATTCAAACCACATTATGTTATTAGAGACTTCATGTAAAAAAGCAGTTTTCTCTTGAGAAGGAGAAGAGCTTCATATGAAGCTGCAACCTATTTATTTCTTCAGCACTCTTGCTTGTTATACAGAATTTTGTTAACATCCCTAACTTCATCTATGGTGTGTCTGCTATGAACTTATAAAATCTTACACTTTCAAACTTTCTTATTTTATTTTGTTTCTGTTTTGCAGTTCTTTAGAATGCATCAATCACTTTAACATTGTTGCTAGAAGAATGACAAATCATGATGAGAATATCGCAATATTTTTAGAAGCACAATTTATAATTTATTTTACAATGAATGATTCTGTGTGATACAACCTAGTTAAATGAACAAGAATAGAGTCATTCAAAAGACCAATAAGTAATTTTACATAACTAAATCACTTAAAGATTATTTATGTTGCCTTGGTTTCCTCCAAGTAGAAAATTACCCAATTCATATTTATTCCCATCACCTCCACTGTTAACATTATGAAAACTCATACATAATTTTTATAACCTGGAAAAGAATATCAAACCTGTAATATTTCTACCTTTTTAAAACTATATTATCAAATAAATGCTGTTGACTAATTTCTTAGCCTTTCTGATTAAAAGGCTTCTTACAAAGTTGAAGATGGTATAAAATCAGTGTAAGATAAAAAGCTTTCACTATCTTCACACAAAGGGCTCAAATAAAATCATAAACTAATCATAAAAGTAATTACATATCAAGATGATTAACTTGTGATATATAGATCTAAAGTTACGGGTGTTTCTAGAAAATTGAATGAGTACGTCAACTAGAGCAGGAAAAAACAATGTACTAGATTGCACCACCTTTATTTATAATAGTTTATGATAAGACTCCTAGAAACCTATGTAAAATGTAAACAAATGTTGACATTTGGAAAATGTTTGTATTTTATTTCAATTGCAGTTTGTCATCTCTAGTTCAATAGATGTGGGAAATCTCTCAAGACATTGTTTTTGAATGCACTAGTATAAAAATTAATTTGTAAGGGAAATACTCGACATAGTGAATAAGGTAGCATTTATGCAAAATTCAAAAAGCTAAATTGTGTCTACTGTAGTCTTTTATAAATATTTATAATACTAATTACAGAAATTTGTCCTAGCTTGCTAGAAAACGGGCTAACCAAATCTCAGAAGAAGAGAAAATTCAGTAGGCAGAATCTTATTGCATCTATAAACTAAGACTCAGATAAAATTCAAATGGCTTACCTTAAGCATCCTTAAATACATTATCCAAGAGTATTAACTGAAAAGAAAAAAAGAATGCATAAAAGTAGATATAAACACTCACTGCAAATATTTTAGAATACTAAGCCAGTCATTTCAATGATCCTTGACCAAGGTACAGCCATTAAATACCATGTTATCTACTTGCTCTAATTTATGTTATATGATATTAGAAGTGGAACCAGAATACTTCTTCCTCCAATTAACCAGTTAATTGTTTAGATTCATGTAACTATTTAAAGAAATTGGTGATTTTTAAAATATGACATATATCCCTTGTGCTTTGAAGAACATCATTAAGTAAAAAGACCACCCATAGAATGGGAGAAGACATTTACAAATCATATATTTGGTAAGGGATTTGTACCTAGAATACATAAAGAATGCTTACAACTAAATTACAAAAAGTCACATCACACAATTTAAAAATGGAAAGGATTTGAATAGTTATTCCTCCAAAGAAAGTTTTATTTTTTACTCTCTAAATATTCTAAGAAAATAATGAATTGTACACTTTAAACAGGTGAGTTTTATGGTACATAAATTAAGCCCCAATATAGCTATGAAAAGTGTGTGATTTTTTTTGGCATGTGTATGATCTTTACTTTAGAGTCTTTGATTATTCATTTTTGTTGTTTAGTGCTTTTGATTTTTTAATATGGTTTTATTTTTGTATGAAAATAAGTCATTTCAAACCTGCTGTTGGATGAAAGTCATTTGCAGTTAGTACAACCTACCAGAATCATATCTACAGAAAAAAACTATAAGGAATAACAGGTTTGTAATTCCATATTGCCCTAGGAAATAACAGCTTTCCAGATTCATGTTAGACTTGTGATTAATCTTTTGTACATGCCACATCTAAAGATCTTTAAATGTGTGTGATTTAGGAAAAATAAATGTTAAACTAAAATTCTAGACTTCAGATATTCAAAAAGAATAGCTATTATAAGCTTGAAATCTTGCTAAGCTTATAGTTTAAAAAGCTAGTGAAAATAAGAAGGGGACTCTTGAATATCTGAACAACCTTTTGATAAAATTCATCTATTGAAGTCACAGAAAGAGAAAAGAAATGGAAACTAATAAATGGGTACAAGTCAAAACACAGAAATATATTTTAGATATTTTTCTTAGGAGAGAAAGAATGGAGTTAAAAAAGGGAAGAATTAGAATTAAAGAAAAAAAGCCATTAGATAATGGATTTTCCTACCTGCCAAATGATAAAAGTAATTTGAGATGATTTTTCCATACTAAATGAGAAACTACTAGAAAAAAATACACTATGTGGCCAGCAGTTGTGATATGTGTATTCTAGTCTGGGATATGTAGTAGAGCACGCAGGTTAAAAACAGCCTTGGAAATTAGGCCATCTATGTTGAATCCTACCTCCCTTACTAACAGTAACTTGGGAAGTTATTTAGCCTCCCTTTTCCTTGGTTTCCACAGGTAACTATCATGGAGTAGTGTCTTTAAGTGTTATTAAGATATGATATGATTAGGCCATTCGATGTGACTCTGTTACTAACTAGCACTATAACAATGAGAAAATAAGCACAGTAATGTATACGATTTCTTCTAGTTCTCAAATTTTATGCCATCATCGATTTTTGAGGGATTTTTTGCTTTTCATTTTGTTTTTAATTTAGCATCTAGGTATAATAGTTTGATCTACAGACTTGCCTGCAAAAGATCACGATTCAGACCTCTGAATTCTGTTCTCACAACTGCAATGATCAGAGGAATCCCTGATAGACGCCCACTGAGAAAAATGTCTGGGAAAAACATCCAGACCTGTCTATGATGACTTTTTTAAGGTGTCAAATTGGCAACATAAAATATGAGGGCAGAAGGAACTACAGCAGCCATTTTGTAGCATACATACATCTTCTTCCAGTCTTTCAATCAAATGCTAACTTAAGTGCTGGCTGTGAAGGTATTTTGCTGATGTAATTAAAATTGTAATTAAATAAAGTACAGGGTCTATCCTCATGAGCCTGACCTAATCAGTGGAAGCCTTTTTAAAAAGACTTAGGCACTGTCCTTAGCCATGCTCTGATATTTTTGGTCTACACTTTGTTTTTCCTTTATAGAACCTTCCCTTCCTCATTACCTGTGACAACAGCTTCATCATGAAGCTTCAGAGTTTCAGTCTGCTTGTGATCTTCACTTCCTGACTTCTTGCCCTGTGGATTCAAATTACTTCCCCACAATCATGTAAACCAATTCCTTGTGATAGCTCAGAAAATAGATAGATAAATAGATAGACTGATTGATGGATTAATAAGTATATTTGTATCTTTATTAGTATATCAATATATCTATATTGACTGCTTTTTCCCTCAACAAAACATTTCTAAGAGGTCTGGGAAATGATTCTTTTCCTCTTTTCCATCCAGTTGCCTAATTAAACTGTTGATGGCACACATTTTCTTCCTAGCAGTACAAATACCCAGGCTTAGCTTGTTGTAGCAGCCCAGCTAATGCAATTCTAATGGAGAAAATAAGTACAAAAAGATGGCCTAAAAAAAGAACATACACTAACACACACAATCCAACAGACACAAATCCAAATTTCCTTATTAACCTAAATTTTCACTCTTAGATACATATCCTTGGCCTTTACTCATAATATCACTGTACTTGGGGGCAAGTATGGGCAGTGGAAAGATGAGGCCTTATATTTTCCATATAATTTGGAGCATGCTATTAACACTAAAGAAGGATCTACTGCTTAGAATACCCATGTTGTATCAGGAATAGAGAAGGACTAGAAATAATACAAGTAACATCTCCTTGGAATGACTAAAATTTCTAAAAATTTCAATATTATTTCAACTTCTCTTCAGCATTTATTTGCATTTAAGTTTTCTAGTCTACTACTAGTATGGATAAATAGTGTAAAAGGAAAAGGTTAAAACCAAAAGGGTTACATATCTTTATATAAAGGAGAATTTCTAATGGTTACAATCCCTGTACTAAATGGGGGCCCTATTAGCTTCCATGTGTATAGTTACTATCTTTTCTTGGCCATAGGTTACCTGCGAGCCATAGCTACATAATGGAGATGACTGGTCACCAGGGGCAACTAAAAAGAAAATGGGATTGATAGGTTTAGAACCACAATAGTGCAACATCATTTCTAAAATAATGACCCATTCAGGGTCAGTTTATCATCTTTCTCCATTATATGTATTATACCAAATTTCTATGGATTTGTAAATTCAGGTTGATTATAGCAGTTAAACTCAATGCAGCCAGGCTCTATTTTGGGTTGCTGGAGTTCAGTCATAGTGATCCATTTAAAGTACTCTGATGTATAATTAAGTGGCTAAATTTACATACTTAAATTGTAATAAAAGTAGCCATAGGATATTCTCTCTTGCACATTTAATTCATTATATTAACCATATTTGGAGCACATAGAAGAGTTTTCAGTAGGGAATGTTCTGAAAAATATGTGACTGTAAAGCTCTACTAAATTGCCTATTAAAAAAATGTTCTTTTTTGTAATCAATCAAAACAAAATGTACTGAATCCTCACCTAGAAAAGCATTATGCAATCTACAACTTATAGGAGTAGGATAATGTTCAGAGAAGAGCTACAAAGATGATTAACATGTTGGACTACAAGAGCAATTTTAGAGGCTAAAGGGACAGAGATTGTTTAGCCTGGAGGAGGATGGCTTATTGATGGTCTTCAAATATATGAGTGGTTTCTCTGCAGAGGATGGTAACCTGCTGTTTTCCATCTTTTCTGAAGACAAGACAAAAGGAAATAGACCTACTTTTAGTAACTTAGATTAAAAACAAATAAAACTGTCTTGGTAGTGAACATTGTTAATCACTGAAATGATTCAGGCTATAGGCTCTTCTTCTCTAAAGACTCATAAAAAATAAATGGTTTGGGTCAAACTAGAGACAAGGTAATGAAAGGTGATCTCTTATGGCTCCTTTTACGGTTCATTAATAGAAAACAACCACTTAAACAAATTTTGAAGATATCTATATATTTCTTCAAAATAACTTTTGCAAACTGAACCTCATGACAACAATTAACTGACGAGTATTTCAAGGCTACAAAGGGATATTTTTTGTTCAACTCATTTAATGAATGAAGCTCAAATTTATGAACTCGTGATTTGCTATAGATAAAATTTTGGGAAGCTCTTTAAAAGTACTCCAAATTAAAAGGTGTATATAATATAGATACATATATACATATGTGTGTAGATACATACATACATAGGTGTATATAATATAGATACATATATACATATATACAAAGGTGTATATAATATAGATACATATATACATACGTATATATGTATACATATGTGTATACATATATACATATAGATATACATATGTATCTATATTATGTACACACATACATATAAAACATATAAGTATATGTATGTATATATGTATATATGTGTGTGTATATATATTTGTGTATATATATATGAAAAAGTAAGTGTCTAAGGTAACCTTACACTGTAAGTATCAATGTAAGAACACTGGACACTTACATTATGGAAAGCATTCACAATTTCTATATTTTAAAAATCATTTTCAAAATTTGAACTTGTCAGATTGTTGCAAATAGAATAAATACCATTAGAAAATCAATCCAGTAATAGCAAGGTTTAAAAGAAAGATATAACTCTTGTACTTCAGAATTCAAAATCCAAGAGCATATTAGATTAGCAAATACTTAACTGTATGCTGAAGCAAAAAAAAAAAAAAATTAATGCCCGAAAGATACAACTAGTTGTAGGTGCATAGAAGATAGAGTTACAGACTCTGCTTGAAAAAAATAGTATTTGAACTTGGTAAAATTCAACATCCCTTCATGATAAAAACTCTCAACAAATTGGGTACAGAAGGAACATATCTCAACATGATAAAGGCCATATATGACAGATCCACAGCTAGTATCATACTGAATGGGGAAGAAAGTGAAATATTTTTCTCTACAATCTGAAACATAAGAAGGATGCCCCTTTCACCATTGTTATTCAACATAGTACTGGAAGTCTTAGCTAGAGCAATTAGATAAGAGAAAGAAAGAAAGGAAATCCAAATTGGAAAGGAAGAAGTCAAGCTATCTTTATTTGCAGATTATATAATCTTTTATTGAGAAAAACCTAAAGACTCCACACAAAAAAATTAGAACTGATAAATAAATTTAGTAAAGTTGTAGGTTACAAAATCAACATGCAAAACTCAGTAGTATTTCTATGTCAACAGCAAACAATCTGAAAAAGAAACCAAGAAAGGAATCCCATTTACAGTGGCTAAAATAAAATAAAATACCTAGAATTAAACAGCCAATAAAGTGAAAGATTAAACATTAATGAAATACATGAGAGAGAACACAAAATCAGAAAGATATCTGTATCTTGTGTTCATGGATTGAAAGAGTCATCATTGTTAAAATGTTCATACTACTCAATGTTATCAACAGATTCAATGCAATCTCTGTCAAAATATCAATGACATTCTTCACAGAAATAGAAAAAGCAACACTAAAATTTATGTGAAACCATAAAAGACCCAGAAGAGTCAAATAAATCCTGAGCAAAAAAAAAAAACTAAAGCTGGAAGTATCACATTACCTGACTTCAAATTATACTACAAAGCTATAGTAACCAAAGCAACATGTTAATAGCATTAAAACACACACATACACACACAGACACACAGAACCTAGACATGAATTCACACATTTACAGTCAACTGATATCTCACAAAGGTGCCAATAACATACACTGGGGAAAAGATAGTCTCTTCAACAAATGGTGCTGGGAAAACTGGTTATCCATATGCCAAAGAATGAAATTAGGTCTCTATCTCTCACCATGTAGAAAAACTAAGTCAAAATAGATTAAATACATACATTTAAGACCTGAATCTATGAAACTACTGGAATACAACATTGAGAAAATACTTCAAGACATTGCTCTGGGAGAAAATTTCTTGAGTAAGACCTGAAGAGCAGAGATAACTGAAGGAAAAATGGACAAATGGGGTCACATCAAGTTTAAAAGCTTCTGCACAGCAAAGGAAACAATCAACAAAGGGAAGAGACTAAACTACAGAATGGGAGAAAATATTTTCAAACAATTTAAGTGACAAAAGGTTAATAATCAGAACAAATAAATAACTCAAATAACTTAATAGCAAAATAATTATAATAATCATCTGATTTTAAAATGGGCCAAAATCTGAATAGACATTTCTTAAAAGAAGACATACAAATGGCCAATAGTTATATGAAAAATGCTCAACATCACTAATCATTACAGAAATGCAAACAAAGTGAGATATCATACTACCCATTAAAATGACTTCTACCAAAAAGATAAATAATAATGAATGCTGGGGAGAAAGTGGAGAAAGAGGAACATTTGGACACTGTTGGTGGGATTGTAAATTAGTATAGGTACTATGGAAAACAGTATGGAGATTTCTCAAAAAACTAAAAACAGAACTGCTGTTCAATCAAGCAATCTCATTGCTGAGTATATATCCAAAAGAAAGGAAATTGGTATATCAAAGAGATATTTGCACTCCCATGTTTACTGCTGCACTATTCACAATAGCTAAGATATGGAATCAACCAAACTTCCATGAACCCAGCTGAACAGATAAATTGTGGCATATATACACAATGGGACGTTATTCGGCCATAAAAAAAAAATAGAACTCTGTCTTCTACAGCAATACGGATGGAACTAGAGGACATTAGGTTAAGTGAAATAAATCAGGCACATTAAGACAAATATTGCATATTCTTGCTCATACGCAGGAGCTCAAAATATTGATCTCATGAAGGTAGAGAATAGAATGATGGTTATCAGAGGGTGGGAAGGGTACTGGGGGAGAAGGGGATAAATAGAAGTTGGTTAATGGACATGCACAGTTAGAAGGAATATGAACTAATATTCTATAGCAGAATAGGACAACTATAGTTAGCAATAGTGTATTGTATATTTCAAAATAACTACAGTGGATTTGGAATGTTACCAACACCAGAAAAAACGTAAATGTTTGAGGTGATGAATATCCCAATTACCCTGATTTGATCATCATGCATTATATGATTATCAAAATATCACATGTATTCCATAAGAATGTACAACTGTTATATATGCCTAAAAATTTAATATACATATGTAAATAAAAGGTATATCTAAGCATGCTTCTTATGAAAAAAATAATGATCAAGAGTTTTTTAAACATAAAAGGGCAATGGTAGACTAGGCAGAGAAAACCACAAGTGCATGGAGGAACTGGAGAGTATGCATGCCAAAATACATGAACATTTCAGTGTACCTAACGTGATCAAACAGGAGCAGTAGAATATCTGTTAGAGCCAGATTGTAAAGATGTTAGTTAAGGTATCTGGACTCCAAGCTGTTCAGTGAAAATGCATGTGCAAAATAGTGTCCTTGGCCTCAGTCCAAAAGTTCTGATTTATAAGGTTATTTTGCTACAACCTTTCTAAGGATCAGTTTGAGAACCAGAGTACAATGCAAGGACACTAATGAAGTACACTGTGTGTCTTTGTGTCCTGAGCAACTGAATGAACCCACACAAAATTTTTGTGAGAAAGGCCAATTGCAGCACTTCTGTTTATTCATAAATGGCTTTGCAAAGTGTTCAAGAAGATAATAATGGCAACTGTCCAGGTATATTGGAGAAGAAAACAGTCAAATCTACAAAAATCTCCCAAGTCTACATTCATTGCACAGTGCTTTGGAAATGGCTAGGTATTTTTTTCAATCCCTAAGAAACAGAAGATATATTTGGGCAGATAAGTAAGGTTGATTAATTTACATGCACAGCTGCCTTCCAGGCGACTGTCATCCACTTGACAGGATGGAGCAGCCTGAAATTCCAAACATGAATATTTCATAACAAAACCGTGAGTCTTACCAATAAAAGGGATAGGGAGTTGGCAAGGAGGGCAGTGAGACATGTTTATCGTCATGTTGCCACTGGATAAATATCCCTAAGCCTAAAGCTAGCTTTAAATGACAAAACGCTTCAGAAGAAATACATAAGATACAAGGCTTTCAACATGTCAAACATATTTAAGTCCTTAATTTTCAAATAATCACCATTTTCTTTAACTTTTAAAAAGTAATGTGGAAAACTATTAGAGATTATGTGAATGATCTTCTATTGCTAATGTGATAAAATAAAGGCTGCAAATTCGAGGAGTAAATTCAATTTTATGGATTTGGGAAACAATGACCTTCAGGATTAGAGATCACTAACCTGCTTTATTTGTGTGGAGAACATGTACTAATAAAAGACTAGGAATAGATAATTATAGGGATATGCTTGAGGGTAGAAATAAAAAGTATTTTGCCTCTAGGATAAACTTTCAGTTATCTGCCTTATGTAGTAAATGTGATGATTCTTTTTGGAACCATACCTAATTGATATAAATAGTATCACAAAAATAAAAATCTTTTTGAATCTTCTGCTGGTATCGAGGAATAAAAAGCAAAACTCTTACAAATCAGCAAATTTACACAGGGAGTAGACTATTTCAGGCATGTCCTTTGTATCTGAGAGTCAGGATTCCTGAACTGAATTGAAGAATAAAGTACTTTCAGAATTTTTACCTTTTCATTGCAGTTTTATTTGTTTTTCAAAGAATTATAAATTCCTAGAGTATCTTGAATTCATACGTTTGTGTAAATAAAAAGTCATCAATTATCTAATTTCAGTATTATGTACTAAAATATTATCCAGTATTCTAGCATTTATTTTGAGAAAAATATGAAAACAATAGAAAAGGGAAAATTCTCAGGTATTATAGAAGAGAAAATATATTATTGTAATGATAATATTTTTACATATAAACATATAAAAACACATTTTATTTTCAGTGTGATTATTGGCACAATAAATCCAGACCATTCATATAAAATGCATGCACATATATACACACATATACACTCATTTTCTAACTTTCTTCTGATTTCAAAGCATGGGATACTCACCTATTATTCTAGCTGCAAAGTGTACTTTCTTCAAATTATCATTTTGATTCAATAAAGGTATTTGTTGTTCTGAATTTTGAGTAATTATCTTAATTCATTGATTTTCTAGATTTTGTGTAAAATAAATGTAGATGTAGTACATATTCCTTCATCAGCGAGAGAAGAGACCAGTTTACTTTCAATAGTATCATATAAAATGAAACATCTTTCCTTTTTGGATCATTTTTTGATCATTCATCATTTTTGATGATTTGATCATTGAACACAACCTACTTCTTATGAGCACAATATAATTTAAAATGTTAATGCCTAAATTTTAGAGACACAAGGCACAGCAGAAAATCAAATTTTGCCTATGTGAATATAAAGATCCTTTATTTCTTTATCTGGGCTTCAGTACCCCTGTGACCTAAATTTATTTATTTCCAAAAACATTAACTGCTTTTTACACAGTTTGAGCCATTAGGAAATTGTTATTATTATAGTGAAGAGCAGAGGGTATTTACCTTTGTAAAATATCAATAATATTTTTTAAAGAATATGTAATTTGAAAAATATTACTCATTGTTAGAATTATGGGATGAGAGTAATTTCCCGACAAATAAACTCCTTAAAGACTAGTCCTGTAGCATTCAACTTTGCTTATTTTCTACTAAGTGTTTTCTAATGAATAATCAAGAAACAGCTGGCTTGAATTTACTGAATTTAGGATTTCTGGACTCGTGACAGGAAGGATCCCTTGACATTCAGGTCTACACAGACTCTAAGTAGCAGGGTAGACATAGTTCCCTAAGCATGTTCTTTCACATAATTGAATTATTCTGAACAAAGTTCTACATTAGTCATATCTGGTGCTGCTCATTCCCATAATCTATTTCTATGTCCATCACCTCAAAGTGCAAATCTACAATCTAATTATTGGCAACTAATAACAGGATTTCTTTATACTAGAAGCTTTACTTTTCTAGTCTGAAATAAAGACGGTATTGTCTACTATTCCTGTTACTGAGGATATTTCTCTAAGTGGAATCTTGTTTCACAACTAACTCCATGAGGTTCTTATTTTATAAAAGCAGAAAACAAATGAATTGGCTTTGCTTTTTGTTGGAGTAAATGGATTACAAAACAAAAAATTATCAAAAATAGAGCAATATAAATTTTACTTGGCTATAATGAAAGTTCTCAATATGTTGACCAGTTACATGCCCCTGCTCAGTTCCATTATTGTCCCCTCTATCCTGCTGAACACCATCAAGCTTCCAGTCAGAGGGAGAGACAACCAATACTACAAGGCTCCTACCTGACCACAGATCAGCCCAGTTCCTCTTTGTGCTTGAACCACAGCTATTTTTAAATTGGTTAGTGTGCACCTGGAAAATCAAAAGTGGTCTCTACGTTCATTTTATTGCAATGGAAAGGGAGTGTTAGTCAGATGTAGTCTTCAATTAACTGGGCAAATTGTGATCTAAAAGTTTCCCCTTCATTTTTATCATTAATCCTCTCAATATGTACAGGAATATATGCTATGCAAAATAGGCAGTGTCAAGACTGAGCACATCCCTAATAGTTTTCGTGCAGAGATATCAATTGAGAAACAGAAACCTGACTTACATTTTCCCAAGAAATAGGTAAATATTACATGTAATGATTTAGCATCCATGGCGCAGGTTGCATGGGATTCTCATTAGATAATATTTTCAGCATATGAATATCTTTACACTTGTTGGTGAAGATATTAGAGAGAGATTTTATATAGAATTACATTGTCTTGGAAGTAAGAGTTTCTCCACCATTTTGAACTTTTCAATTTTGTGTCTCTTACCTTCTTAATAGTATTCTGATTGGATAATTCACTTCCAATATCAATGACCTTTGAAGAATAAATTTTTCCTACATCACTTCTCCCAGCTGGCCACTGTGGAAACCCCCAAAACTTTTTTGACTACTTTTTGTGACAATGCCTATTATAGGGTTATAATTACATATGTCTTATTAAAAAAAATGTAAGTAGAGACTTCTGGTATGAACATGGTTGTCTATATCAACTTCTCCTGCCAACCTGTTCTTCCTGGAAATTATATAAAAGCAATAAATATCTTTTCCATGCACCCCATTTAAAATGAAATTAGGAGAAATTTATAGAAGCTGCATAAGAAGAAGAAGAAGAAAAAAAAAAAGAGAGTGAAGCAAGACCCAGCAGTGGCAGCACTTTAAAGGCACCAGAAAAATATACTTCCTAAAGATGAGGAGTCATTCATTCAGTAATGCAAAAACTATGACTTGTATCACAGTGGCAGCAGAAGCTTCCTAGACAAGGTTTAGAAAGAAAGTAGAAATTCAATTACCTAACAAAACCATTGCATGGCCAAAAGGTAAGAAAACACAAGCAAAGTCAAACATATAAACATAAGTCTATTTGCAATATATAACTCATCTATATACTTGCTATATCTCAAGTATCTGGAACACTACCTGCCACATAATAAATATTTATTGAATGAATACATGAATCAAATTGAAAAATTTGGCAAAGAACGTAGTTTGTAAAAAAAAAAGTAAAAATGGCTTTTACACATATTTAAAGATGTTCTCTCATCAGTCATAAGATAAATTATTCCATTTTTATCTATTAGATTGGCAAAAACTCAAGTGCTAAAACTTCCCATTGGCAAAGTTCTGAGGAAACAGTTATTATCATATATCGCTGATGGGCATGTAATTTGTATAAGATTTATGAAAAGCAAGTTGGCAACATCTATGAAAAGTACAAAGGCATATACCTCTTGGCACAGAAATTCCAACTTGGGTAATATCCTAGAGACATATGTATGTGCATAATGAGGTATGTACAAGGTTATTCATAGCAGCATTATTATTAAATGTAAAATAATGGAATAATCATATATGCATTGATGGGGACAAGAATTGGCTATGTTAATTATAATATATCTACTCAATGAAAATGTGACATAGCTATAGAAATAATGAGAATTCTCCTAAGATATCCAGGATGTATGATTGATGAAAGAAAAATCTAAGTTAACACAGCTTTTACGTTAAGAAACCTCAGTGCTTACAAAGAAGGTAGAAAATAAAAATATTTATTTTTAGTCATTTTTATATAGACAAACTTTGGAAGTGCTGTAAGAAGCTGAAAACAGTTGTTCCCCTGTTTGAGTGATGAAACTAAAGAGACAAGAAAGAGGGAGGGGAGAAAGATATGAATATACTGCTTTTTATAGCTTCAATTTCTTGAACCATGCAAATAAATTTCTGATTCAAAAAATTAAAATTTAATTAAGAAAGAAATTGTGGAGAAAAACAAGAAAATAAAAAAAGTTTACCAGTGTCTGGATTCATCACAAAATAACACTCTCAGATTTATAGCAGAAAAAAAAAAAAACCTCATTCATTAATTCATCAAACAGATGTTGATTGAATTACTTCCATGATTTAAGATGCTAGAGATGCCAGATAATGATTCTCCTGAAGCTTCTATTATTTCCGTGAAATAGAAAATAAACAACTGACAAGTTAAAGAAAGAAAAACAATAAGTGTTATTACTAAAACAAAATAGGATGATACTATATAGATAGTGTCTTGGGAGCTTTTTTTTTTTTTTTTTTTTTGCTGAGTGCTCTGAGAAAGTCTCTTTCAAAATTAAAATTGACGGAGGTGATATTTGAACTGTGATTTGAGTGACAAAAAGGAGGCAGTCGTACACATATCAAAAAGACAAGCATTTTATGCAGAGTCCAGCAAGAGTAAAGGCTTGGGGTAAGAACAAATTTTTCATGCTTTATGGACAGAACAAAGTGCCATGTGAGTACAGAGAAATGAACAAGAACTAAAATTGCATGAATTAAGAGGTAAGTGTAGCTTCATAATGTGTAGCTATCTAGACCTTGGATGGCCAGGGCAAGAGATTTGGATTGCTTTCTACATGGGGTGAGAAGACATTGGAAAGTTTTACACAGAAGGATCATGTGATTTGATCTATGGAAGTAAAAGGGTTGACTCCGCTATCTGCTTGCATATTTTAGGGGACAAGAGTTGAAGCAGGGTGGCCAGATTGTCATTCTTTTGGTATCCTAGGTAGACAATGATGGTGTTTCAGCTAGTATGGAGTTGGGGAAAAATGGAAGTAATATGAAAGTCTTTATTGACGATTAGAGGTGAAGTTGAGGGAAAGAATGAAATCAAACCAATGCTAGATTTTGACTTACAAAAATAGGTATAGACCTATTTTCTAAGATGAGATAGAGTGGGGAGAAACAGGTTTAGAGAACGGAATCAAAAATTCTACTTTAGATATCTTAAGTTTGAGATAAACGTATAAGTAGAGACGAAGAGTAGCTGGTTGGACATGTGTGTGAAACTCAGGGGAGAAGTAGAGTCAGGGCATAAAAATATAAAAATCATCTGCATATAAATGATACTTAAAGCCAAAGGGGTGAGATGCAAGTGAAATCACCTATAAATGACAACAGATATAGAAGAGATGATAAATACAGAACTCATCCAAGGGCATGCCAATCTCTAGCAGTGAGGAAGAGCAGAGATTAAAAAATAGAAAGAAATTATTGACAGGATAACATGAACATATATAAAATAATAAAAATTTCATACAAACGAAAGCGCCTAAGAAAAAAATAATGTTAGGAAAACATTTGCATCAGACAGGATTTCCAAAGTGTTTATATTGTGATTATTACAGTATTTTTAGAGTCTTCCTTTTCATATTAAATAAGGCAAAGGATATGAACAAACAGTTTATATAAGCAGTGATTATAAAAACATGGCAAACGTGCATTCTGTCCATTATTGAAGAAATAAAAAAATAAATTTTTTTTTTCAGGACACACTGTATTCTTCTTCTATGGATAAAACAATTGCTTAAATAAAAACATTCAAAGTTTGTGAGACTGTAGTGAAACTAATACAGTTGAACACCGCTGTCTGCTTTATAAGAAACAATATGTAGTAAGAGATAAAATGTTTATCCAATTTGAGTCAGTAATTCCACCTTTGGGAATATATTTCCTAAAGTCATAATTCCACAGAAGAGGACTACTTATATGCAGAACTAGATTTTTATTGCAATAAATTTTATCTTTAAGAAACTGAAGAAAATCAATACAACCACAAATATAGAAGTGATCAAATCAAGCATAATCTACTTAGGCTAGATGAATATTTTAAAACTACTAAAAATTGCCATTAAAAGTCATATATCAAAACTCATGAAAATGCGTATAACATAAATGGATTATTTTTAAAGAAGATTAAATGACATTTGTGTTGTTTAGTCTGTCCCATTCTTACGACCAATTGACAACATTTTCTCTTTTTTTTACTTTCACATTTCTAAAATGTAAAATCCCAATGGACTTGCTTTCTACTCCATCCCCCAGTATAATTTTATCCAATTGCTTATTTTGTTGGCATGAACTTTAGGGATGTAACTGTGAGTTAGCAATGACATAACTACTGATGGATCTTTTGGGATAGGCCTTATTCAGAAATCAAGATGTGGAGACCTCATGAGGATCCAATAAGTCAGAGGTGGAGGGGGTCAGCCACAGATAAGCTGTAGAGTGGAGCTGAAACTGACAACAGGGACATGTTTATTTATAACAGAAGCACGTGGAAGTATGAAAACAAGATAGGTTTACGTTTTAGTCCAGAATCCTAAAATATGAATAGTCTGAAAATGGAAGAAAAAGATTTTAATGCATGCCCCGATGCATAATAATGGGCTAAATATAGAATTCTTAGAGAAGATGCATTGATCTGAATAGTGTTTGGTTGGTGGTTTCAACAGAAAGAACTAAAACATCTGTTTTTCCACTTAAAGCGTTTTTGGACATTCAAAGAAAGTCACTTAAAACTGTAACACTAGCCTCCTGGAAATCAAAACTTATGTTGAAGAAAATCATTTTAATGAAAAATGTAAGACAATGTTGTGAGCAGGTTAAGGGAACATTTCACTTCAGGGGCTTTTTCAAAACATCCCCTAAATTACAGAACAAAAGATAGCCTTGTCTCAGAAGTCTGTTTCTCCTGGGCTGGCGATGCACCTCTAAGAGTAATTTAGGCACCTAAGGAAGGACTTTTCAGACAAGAGAGGAATAAATGACCATTCGCATCTTACAGAAGGATCACCAAGAGCATTAGCATGTCCCTGTAAGTGCACCTCTGTTTTCTGGGGCATTGATCACATCGAAACTTGATTTCTCTTAAGATCCACTGAATCCCAAAAAGAAATTGAGGTGTATACTTTTCATTATCCCATTTGCAAAGTGAATGATTTTTTTTTTTAATCCAAAAAAGCAGCATCAAAATCAGGCCACTAAGAAGAAAGGTAAATCTGGTGCTGAAGGAATATGCTCCTTATTCCTCAATGGCGTACGGAAGTTTATGATTCTGTTGAAAAAGTCATAACTCCGCTTCATTCTCTTGAGATGCAGAGTAAAGGGAGAAAATAGTGTTATTAATTTTATCAAAATTCTGCCCTCTCAGGATGGCTGAGTTGAGATGTCAGATGCCAGTTCTCCTCAGAAAGAACCAAAGTTACAGATGAATAATCGTAAGTTGAATAGAAGATTAAGGAGAGAGTGCCAGAACCTATTGGAGAACTCACAGAAAGAAGCTAGGGCACAGAAAAAAGAAGGAAGAGTGTGGCAGAGATTGAACCCCAAGGAACTTGGAGTCTGGTGGAAAGGGTAGGTGCGGTGTTTTGCGTTCCACTCACAGCTGTGGCAGACTGGGTTTCCGAGCTGTAGGAGAGCTCCTTTGCTGGCCCTAGCCCAAGGACCGGTGTGGGTGGTGATTTGTTAATTTACTGAGGGCATTGCACCAGGCTACCAGCTTGTGTAAAGTTGCTCACCCTCTCCCCAGACCTGAGCTGCAGTGGTAAGCGCCATATTGAGTGTGCATCATTGTGGTCCTCTGTCCTGCCCAGAAAATCTCAGCCTTCGTGTCTCCACATCACCAGATCCCCCGCAGACATTCCCTAGCACCTGCTTAGATTGCAGCAGCCACACATGGGGCCAGATGTACCTAAGGTAGCTGCAGAATTCCCGGTGGTCTGAACCTCAGGGTATGCTGCCCCTAGGGGAAGGGAGAGTGCAGCGCGCCTAGGGAGTGCCCCATGGGACAAACGAAGCCAGAGCGTATGCTCTCCCGTGCCCAAGAGTTTCCTGCTTGGGGACTGAGGGTGACAGCACCCCTTCCAGCAGAGAAATGGGCACCATGCTCAGTGCTCTGGGGGGAAGTGTTTTTTAGCCCCAGTGGTCAGGCAGCCCCAGTGCTCAGGCACAGTAGTAGAGAGGAGGATTTCTCCTTCCCGACTGCCCACTGCTGCAGACAAAGCCGTGGATGCCTGTGGACAGCCAATACAGGACTATCAGGAGCAGCTACAATGATATTGGTGGTGTGCCTACCTGCCGAGTCCGACCTTCTTGCACCATAGGCAGAACCCCTTCCTCTCTCCACACTGAGTGGCAGCGTCCTCGCAGTGGAGAACAGATGACCAGCAAAGCTGTCTGTTTTCGGCTGAGGGAAGAGACTCCTCCCTGAAACCATGGTACAGGTGTTTTCTGTGGCTCTCAGCTTCATTGCAGCTTGAAGATAGACGGCAGTGTCTGTTTGAACTGAGACACATGAGACCCGGGACAGGAGTATGATAGGGAAACGTTCCTGCCTATCCAGGATGTGAAGCTGGCGCAACCGCCTACCACCTCTGGAGAGACCTCGGCACATTTCACCAGTTTTCCCTGCTACCCTCATCAGCACTGGTGCTGCTGCTTGTCACTGGAGTACCTGAGGCTGAGACTGGCTGTCCAGCTCCGCCCAGCTTTGACCCCTGCTCCAGGGCTGAGCAGGTAACTCACGGCACCGGACATTCCACCGACCAGTCCATCCCTTCAGGTAACAGCGAGCTCCTCCTAGAAAATAAAGATTAAGCCTATACTTACCTGTTTCTGCCACAGCCAGTTCTTACTTACTAGTGCCACCTACTGGCCGGGAGGTTGAACTGCACAACCCGATACAAAATCTGACTCCAGAGCACAGCGCATGGAAATGAGATAAGCTTCTTGAGGCCTCCACCTGCCTGTCTCTATAGGAGACTGAGCATTTACTCACGTGCCCAGTATGTCACTACTACAACCACCATTTGAGAAATTCACCACACCAAGGAAAAGACCTTGCCCGCATGATTCAGTTACCTCCTACTGGGTCCCTCCCATGACACGTGGGAATTATGGGAGCTACATTTCAAGATGAGACATGGGTGGGGACACAGCCAAGCCATATCAGGACTTAAAAGTAAGACCTCAATCTATAAAAATTCTAGAAGAAAACCTAAGAAAAACTCTTCTGGACATTGGCCTGGGCAAATAATTTATGACTAAGACCTCAAAAGCAAATGCAACAAAAACAAGAAAAGACAAATGGGACTTAATTAAACTGAAAAGCTTCTGCACAGCAAAATAAATACTCAACACTGTAAACAGACAACCTACAGAGTGGGAGAAAGAATTTGCAAACTATGCATCCCACAAAAGGCTAATATCAGAAATGTACAAGTAACTTAAACAATAAAAAAACTCCATTAAGAAGTGAGCAAAGGAAATTAACAGACACTTTCTAAAAGAAGACATACAAGCAGCCAACAGACATGAAAAAAATGCTCAACATCACTAACCATCAGAGAAATGCAAATTAAAACCACACTGAGATATCATCTCACACTAATCAGAATGGCTTTTATTAAAAAGTCAAAAAATAGCAGATGTTGGAGAGGATGCAGAGAAAAGGGAATGCTTTACACAATGTTGGTATGAATGTAAATTATTACAACCTCTACGAAAAACAGTGTAGAAACTTCCCAAATAAGTAATATTTGAACTATCCTTAAATCCAACAATCCCACTATTGGTTATCTGCCCAAAGGAAAAGAGCTTAATATATCAAAAAGATACCTGCACTTCTATGTTTTTCAGAGCACTGTCCACATTAGCCAAGATGTGAAATTGACCTAAGTGTCCATTGACAGATTATTGGATAGAGAAACTGTGGTATATACATACCATAGAATACTACTCCGCCATACAAAATAATGAAATTACATCCTTTGTTGCAACATGGATGGAACCGAAGCCTATTATCTTAAGTGAAATAACTCAGAAACAAAAAGTTAAATACCACATGCTCTCGCTTATAAATAAGAGCTAAACGACGTATACATGTGGACATACAGAGTGGAATAATAGACTTGGGAGACTACAAAAGGCGGGACAGTGGGAGAGGGGTAAGGGATGAAAAAATACCTAATGAGTACAATGTACATTATTTGGGTGATGGTTACACTAAAACTCAGACTTCACTGCTCGCAATATATCCATGTAACAAAAATGCATGCGTGCTCCTAAAATCTATAAAAATTAAATAAATAAATAAATAAGTGGTACAATAAAACCTCATTGGGTACCCAGTAGAATTGCCTAAAAATAATGATTAGAAACTTAATGCATATATTAAATGTCTTAGTTTGCTCTCAGGCATTTACTTTATTATTTAATATGTTAAATGTAACAATTTTTATTATAACATTTTATAAAAATATGAATTTTGCATATTATTTTCTACGTAGAAAGTACACATCAGAACTGCCACAATGATACTGCAATGAATCTCACGTACTGGGCATCTTTTGTCTTAGCCTGGTTTCCCCAGAAATTGGAGATTGAGGCAAAGGCTTATGAGCTACTACTGTTTTAGGAAATGTAATCCCAGAGAGCTGACCTGAGAGACAAAGGGAGAGAAAGAGTATTTAAAAAGTAGAGTATACTACAAAAATGTGCTATTGAATTAGTGGTGATTGCCTGATCTCTAAGAAGCATTCTCTAAGAAAACATATAAACTGTATTTCAAAACAGTCTATCCAGAGGGAAAAAGTGATAAAAAATGTTTTCCCCAGTGTCTCCCATGTGTCAAAGATTGTCTCTGGGGAAACTGGAAAATTTTCATACTTCCACATTGCATATATATGGTAGTAAACTAAATCCCACAGCATTTTGTGCCTTTGGCATCCAAAGATAGCCGTAGGGCAGGAGGCAAGAGGTTCAGGGCACATGCATGAGGCATGGTACTGTTAGGCTGCATTTGTTGGAGCCCATGCAGAGCAGGTGACCACAATAGTAGCTGTAACAAGGCATAGTGAAGCTACAAATGATGTAAAGTGATGCATGCGAGAAGTGGTTTTCCAATTGTTGCAGGCATCAGAAGCACCTGGGGGGCTTGTTGCAACACAGATTGCTGGGTGCCATCCCCACAATTTCTGATTCAGTAGGTCTGAGATAGGGCCCAAAAATGCATTTTTAGCAAGTTTGTAGGTGATGCAATGCTACTGACCCCAGACTACATTTTGATAAATCCTGCATAAGTCTACAGTCCAGTACTCCTTCCACACATATTCCCCCACATCCAGGTGGGCTAGTGTGTATTAGTGAACTCCTAAAATTTCTTCTAGGTATGATCTATTTCCTCCAGACCACAGATTACACTTTTCTGAATGGCTTATGCTGAAAGTGGACTCTGCTTATCCACCTAGAGACAATAAAAATGGTTGGGGAGCATCTTGAGGAGAAAAGATGCTATCTTCTGAGCTATGTTCCTCAAATGGGGCTTTTGTAAAGACTGCTGGGATGAGGCTGCTCATGTCTGGCAAGGGGAAAGAGTGGCTTTTGCCAGACCAGAGGGTTCAACAGAAGCTGGAAGACCAATATCCTTATCGCTAGAATCCTCAACCAAAAACTCCTTTTCTGTGGTTATCCATTTTTCCCATTCTTCTAGACAGAGTGATATATTTTACGAGAAGATGGGAATGAGGTAAATCTAAAACTTATTTTAAGAAGTTTACTTTCAGTTTACTAAGCTCCATGTAAAAACTATTGTTTATCTGTAATTTAGACTTTTGAAAGCAGTAGAAAAATATTTGATGAAGGTGTCAATTGAACAATAAGTATATCTAGAGTTATGAATACTTGGTATAAAATGTAGGCTCCAACTATACAGATCTATTGTAAAAAGCAGACTATAGATAGAGACATGATTCTTTGCTTTTTGTAAAGATTATCTGTTATGAGGTTTTTAGTTCCCTCGAAACAATTACTATAGGTGTCAAAATCACAAAATCACCAAAGTTACATCATATTATCCATTAGGAACTTGCCTGCAAAATAAGAAATGAGATTTATAAGTACAGAGAAACATCAGCAATCACATCCCATTACAGCTAATTTACAAGTGATTGCTCTTGCTGACCTTGTAGATATAGAGGAGAAGCCCTTTCTGTGGCCCCAAGGGAGCTAATGTTTAATTGAGTTAATAATTTAATAATAGAAACTATTAGAGGATCTGAGATGTAAAAAGTAAAGGATAAAAACATTCTACAGAAAGCAGAACATTTGGACAATTTCCACTCAATCATTCAATATTTATTGAACACCTGTCTTACACTAAGATCCTTGCTAACGACAGCAAAGTGCAAAGACGATAAAAAATACTTTTGCCCTCTAGAAAATCATATACTACTATGAGAGATAATGGGTAAAAAAATTGCAAAAATCTGTGAAAAGGAAATTTTTTTGAATTTGGGACAAATGTGATGGAATTCGTTGAAGAAATGCTGTTTCTGAAGTATGTAAGCCAGAATTTAATTTCTAGAATAAATAAACCCTATAATGCACATGGTACATTTAATATTTAAATCAAATAATAACATATATTTACTTTAATGCATTTCACATACACACAACTTCAAGAAAAACAGATAATTCATAGTGTACTCTGTCTACTTTTCCTGAACCTGACCTTGGTCCAGCCTGTCTCATGTTTGACATAGGGCTGATGTTACTGTCAAAATGTGGTGAAAGGAAGAAAGAAAGAGAGAGAGACAGAGAGAGAGAGAGAGGGAGGGAGGGAGGAAGGAGAAGAAAGAAAGAAAGAAAGAAAGAAAGAAAGAAAGAAAGAGAAAGAAAGAAAGAAAAAGAGAAAGAAAGAAAGAAAGAAAGGAGGGAGGGAAGGAGGAAGGAGAAGAAAGAAAGCAAAGAAAGAAAGAAAGAAAATAAGGAAGGAAGGAAGGAAGAAAGAGAAAGAAAAGAAAAAGAAAGAAGGGAAGAAATGACTTTTATAACTGGAAGTGTGTTTCTATGTCGCTAAATGTAACTCTCGTTCATAACACTTGTTATGAATTGGCTGTTTGGATAAATGTGGAGTAGTGGGAATTCTGAACTGACCTGTGTGCAGACCATTTCTTAGCCACTCCTTCCATAAAATAAAAATCACACCACAGATACTGTGTAAGAAAACATGTGAATAGAATGCAAAATATAAAGACAATAAACTCCCCAAAGGGACTTTCTTGTAGGGAATAATTTATTTTATTTAATCAAAATATGCATTAGGTTAATATTAAATTTCAAAAATTAACTCTCTAAATATTAAGTCCTATTAGTTTTTAAAAGAATAAAATTTATTACAAGGAAGTACCAAATATTCCAAATAAGATTTGAAAGTACCAAATATTATTGGATATGGGTCATACCTTGTGAATATAAAAGAAAGAAAGCATAAAACATTTTTGCTCTTCTTTTTCTTCTCCTCTCCTTCTCTCCCTTTATTGTCTTTCTCCTCCTTTCCCTTCTCTCCTTACCTGTCTTCCTTCTACTCCTGCTTTATTAAATATAAAGAACCTTGGCTTCATCAACGAACAGCCAAATGATTTGGGAGCTCAGAATATGGTGATGTTTTGCTAAGTGAAGCGATGTGAACTTTGCCTTCAAGAAGGAGGAGTTCATCACTCCTTCTTGTCCAGATAAGAAAGTAAAAAAAAAAAAAAAAAAAAAAAAAAATGCCCAGATAAGAAGTAAAATGGATTTGGGATAAAGGCTGACATGGTCTGCCATGCATGGTAGTTACAGATTATTTTATTAATATTCTTTTTTAACCTTTTGACAGAATTAAAAAGGTGATGCATCAGTCATAACCATCAAGACTGAATAAGATGCCTTCCCTCTTTACACCTATCTGAGATGCCAACTAAGGGAGACTTAGAGCATGAGTTCTGAACTGAAAAGCCAAGAGAGAATGTTCCTCTTTATTTCAAATGCCTTATTTTGACATCTTCCCATGATTTAGCCTGAACCCATAATAGGGAGACTATCTCTTCCTCTTTTTTCTACTTGACTGTATATCTCTCCTTATCCTTTCCCCAAAGTCAATGTAAGACTCAGCAACAGCACTGTCCCAATTAATATTCTAGTTGTTAAATGAATACTAAAACTACTTCAACAGGTATATCTGGGACTCCATTTAGTTTATGATATTGTTTCCACAGGAAAATGCATTCCAGATTAACAAAATAGCAACTTTACAATAGTTTGGGTTAGAAAAAGTCATTGGTATGTTGAGCACTTACTTGTGTAAGGAGTTAAAGGACATGGAATTCAACAGTGGCACTGTTAGCCCTCTGATTTGGGTTTTCCATGTCCTCTGTGACGGCAAGGACAGTTGGGAGGCAAACACTGCTTCAATCTTTTTTTTTTTAATTTTACAGTAGACAATGCCAAAAGGTAGATGGCTATTTTAAATGTCATCTTTTGTTGATTGGTTTATAGTGTAATCGTTTTATAAAGGTCTACCAAAAAGTAAGGAAATGGTATTTGATTTCACGCTGAGAGGAAACTGTGCAGCACAAATTATGAAAGAAAGTAAAAATGTTTATAGTCCATGAGAAACATAAAACTATACTAAAAGAACAATATGAATGCATTGCATCCACTCTCTTTGATCTTTTGAATTAGAAGTTTCAAGTACCTTTAATACTTGGTAAGAAAGTGGGATTGTAATTGTTTTACTAATAAAAATGTATTTGAGATTTCACCAAGCTTCATCTATTTTTCTCAGAATTTTATGATCTAAATCTAACCTCTCAGCTGGCTTCCTTCAACTTTTTGCATTTCCACTTTACCTCCAGTCTTCTCATAGTCACCCAGTGACATCTCTCTTACTGATGACAAAGCTATTATTTTTTTCTTAGTAGTATGTCCCTAAACTTTCTTTTGTTAAAGATTATATCTTATTACCACTTCAAAATGACTTATTTTCCCATTTTTCTAAATATATCAAAATGAATAAAACAGTAATTTTGAAAAGTAGTTCTGTGGAAATTTCCATACTTTTCCTTTCTTTAAACAATGTATCTTTCATCTGGAGGTGAAAGTCACTTTTGATAACTAATACTATTGTTCAAGATATATGTTTATTGAAGAGAAAATAAACACTTCTAATTCTTTATTTTTATGTTGTGAAGCTAAGTAAAGTGAAACAAAGCAACCAGAAATTTAAAAAATATATATTCTGATTGAAAACTAGCACATTGAGTTTTCCACTATGAAAATAATACGGTTTTAGGTTTATTGGAACTTTGAGAAAGCAAACTTTGAATGAAGCAACTCTAGCACTTGGAAAGCTTTTCAAAGGCACAGAAAACCTCTGCCAATAGAGTGAAGAAAGCACAAGAAACAGCAGGAGAAATTATTTCTTAAGTGTAAATTAATAAAAATATTGTTTCTTATTTCAAAAAGTACTTAACTCAGAATAATCGTTGCCCTATGTAAAAATCACACACAAAATATGTGTTAGTTTTTTTCCATGAAACTTAAATGTACATAGAAAAATGTTCCATCCCAACATCCCCGTGCCGATCCTTGAGTATATTGAAAGATTAGGCAGATACTCTGCCAATGGTCTGAGATTTAAGCTCAGTCTTAAGTTTAGCCAGGAGAAGATAAGAAGCAAATTCTTCTGTGAATCACACTGAAGGACTGTCTTACCAATCCCAGACGGAGGGAATTTAATAACTTACTTGCCATGCCAAAGCTTCAGGTATATCAGACCCTTTTCCACACCACCCCACATCATCCTCTCAGACTCACCTTGTTCTGTAAATAGCTTCTGGTAAGACTGGACTTAGGTATATTGACAGTGCCTTGGTTCAAACAGTCTCTGCATGAGTTTTTCTTTCTTCCTGGGCTTTTCTAAGTCCTGATATGGAGCAGTGTTGAGAGACTGTATGGCATGCATACACACACAGCTCAAGAGTATAAGATATTACTTGCATTTCAAGATAGGTGTGTCATGTGCTTTTTGCTTAGAGATCTTTTGTGGAAAATTTGAGAAACATTTTATTTACTCCCCTAAAGGACTTCAAGAGATCTATCTCCAACTGATGCATCCACTGAGCAATCCGATAATGTAGTTTGGGTGGACTCTTTTTCCTTTGCTGTCCACTCTTGCTGGAAACTCACTTAGCTCTCTAAATTGAGGTTCCATTGCTTTCTAAATAAACCACCTATGTACAAATCCTTTACAGTCTCTGCTTTTGATGAAAAACCAAGCTAAATTAGAGAGGAATCTAAATCCTATTTAGAATACTCATAGTGGTTTTGAGGTAGAACTATCAATTTTCTAAATCTGCACAGCCAACAAGACTCATACAGAGATGTATGTGTAGGCACAAGACAGTGGAATTGAATTAAGATTTTATTCAATATTACTCAAAGCTTACTACATGATGCTACTTACAGTCAGTGAAAGTTGCTCCTACTTTTACTATTCTACTAGTTTGTTTTTATTTTTTTAACTACCTTGATAAATCTCAACCTACAAAGTTCTCTCTCATTTTCTTTTATCAAGGTGTCCTGTCTTAGGCTGTACTCTCTGGTATCTTATCCAAACATTTTCCAAGACTTGCTATCTATTGTAGGCTATTCTTTATTATGAGATTTGGAAGTGACCTTAAAATCTAATTACCTCGTGAGTCTGATAAAAAACATTGAGGCTCATAATTGGCAAAATATCTGTCCCAAGGTACCACAAATCGTTCACAGCCTAGACAAATCACTTTGCCTATTGACTTTATTTCAAATGGATACACAGAACTAAAATTATTTCCATTAAAGAAGTAAACACGATATTAACAAATAAAATATTTCCTCCATGATGTATGTTCATAGTATTTTGTTTTATTCTTTTCACAAAAATATAGTAATTCATGTGCTTTATTATGTTAATCACACTTGCTTAAAACATTGTATTTCATCCTCCAATTAGCTACATATACTCACAAAAAAACCACTAAAATATTTACAGTAATGCAATGGAGTCAAATTTTATATTTCATAATACATTTATTATTAAAGTAAAATAAGCTTTATAAGCAGCATATTGAGGGATCCAAGATGATATATATGCACAGCATTGCAATACAAGTGGAAAAAGATAATGTCATATATCCAATCTTTTGTGTTTGGTTGTTTGTTTATCAATACCTTTTGGATTTCAAGTACAAAGGACAGAGTTTATCATACTGTCTATTGCACTTAATCAACTTTGTTTAATGAAAGTTTCCTTTCTTGCTTTATTCATTTATCTTTAATTCATTCATTTATGTTAATATATATCACTTTCCTTTGCTTCTTCCTCAGGCAACAATTATAATGTATTTAATTTTATTTGAAATTCTTTTAGAAAATGCAAATTGTATAATGTGAAGATATTTTAATTTACTTAAATGCTATTATATATGTCATTATAGTTCTCATTTTTTTCACTAAGGTTTATTCTTAAAGACCAATCAGAGTTTTACTTCTGTTAAGAATCCAGAAAGCCATAAGAGAACGTTGATCCCACCCAACAATAAGTAAAACAAAGAAAATATACAGAACCAGAGTTATTGGGGTTTCATTTGTTTGCCTGCTTGTTTGCTTGCTTTTCAATTCTTCAATGAGTTGAAATCCCAAGGCAATGAGGTACTTTGATTTTCAAAGTGTAACAAATTCCTCTAAGGAAAGACAGGACAGGCCACGCTAAGTATCTTGCCCCGGCAAAGCACATCAAACAGAGATGACACTCATTGAAGTGAATAAGAAGAAAAAATCTTCAGTGTTAACAAACACATAAACAGAGAGTGTGGGCTAGTGGCACAGGTTAATATTCTTGGGAGTTCTAAATACAAAAGTAGTCTTCACCCACTTGCCAGAACTTTCTCATGAGCCTCCACCAGGTGTCCATGAGAAAGAGTAGAATCAAAAAAGGCCACCTGAGAAAGTCTCCCTTAATGATGAAACATTGAGGTAAGTTGCTTCTTTCTATAGAACAGGTATGAAACCCACAATTAACTCTTCTCTCATATAAAGCAAAAACTGTCTTCCTCCAGGTAAGGGGCAAGAAAACTTTCAGCTTAGATTCCAGAAATAGGTAAGCTGACTCTGGAGAAAAAATAAAGGAAAACCTGTCTGTCTTTTAGAGTAAATCTTTCTTCTTTTTATCCCAAGCAAAGGTTGGCTGCTGCTGGAGAAAGGATAAATTCTCTGTTGTTTCAAGGCTCCTACACAAATACAAAGCGCGATGCTGTTGCTACTGGAAGAGAAGTGAAAAAAAACTGCTTATGTTCAAGACCACCTGGACAAGACTTCTTAACTATGAAAGGCAGTTTTGTTGCTGTGTAGGAAAAGACAAAAATACTGAGAATAGGCTCTCTCCACATTCTCTGAGACTCAGAGTTAAAGAGACTAATAGAAGTCTCAATCCCCGAGACAACCTGATAGAAGCAGAAGCATACCAATTCCCAGGAGTTAATGCTGTTTACTTTAGTCTCCGTTGTTCTTTTGCATACAATACCTAAATCTAATTTTAAAAATCACAAGAGACATGAATAAGCATGAAAAAAAGAACTCATCATCAAGGGAGAAAGCAGTCAACAGAACCAGACTCAGAAATGAAACATATTTTGAAACTATTTGACTAGGACTTTTAAATAATTATAATGAATATGTTCATTAATCTATGGAAAATAAGAACGGTGTGGAACAGATGAAGAATTTTAGCAGTAAGATAGAAACTATAAAGGAAATCCTGTGAAATGACAGATTAAGAAAACATGATATGAAAGTTGAAAAATTTTTTCACATGCTTATTTGCAGACTAAAGGCATTACAGAAAGTTAACTGTGAATTAGAATATATTTTGATTAAAGTTTTCCAAAATATAATGTGTGTGTAACTGTGTGTGTGTAGAGAGAGAGAGAATGAAATATAGTGAAAAAATAAAATATCCAAGACCATTAATAAATGATCTAATATATGTGTAATTGGACGCCCAGCCTTAGATGAGAGAAACAAAGAGAATAGGGCTGTAGAAGCATTTGAAAAGATAATGGGTGAGAACTTTACGAAATTAATGAAAGACTAAATAAACTACAGCTCTAATAAATTCAGAGAACTCGAAACTGGATAAATATAAAGAATAACATACATAGGCATATCATAGTCAACCTGCTGAAAACCAAAGATGAGTAAAAAGTAGTAAAGGTTGGACAAGCTAGAAACACACCTTATATAAGGGAACAGAGGTAACAATTATATCAGATATATCATTTAAAAGTATGCAGTCCAAAGAAAATGAGGTAATATATAGTACTGAAAGAAAAACAGCCAAACCAAAAGTTTAAAATAAACATTAAAAGCAGTTATTTAAGCAGAAATAATATAACAGATACATTTATAAATACACAAAAAAAGAGGTATAGCAATGTAAGAAAATGTATAAACTATATTTTTCCTTATTTTAAATCTCTTTAAAAGTCAAATGTGTAAACCAAAATAACAACATATATTTTGGGAGTTATAATATATGTAGAAGTAAAATGAATGACATAAATAGCACAAAGCAAGATGGGGGGAAAATGAATGTATATTCTATGTTGTTATACTACATGTAATGTAGTATAATATTATTTGAAGGTAGACCATTATAAGCTAAATACACATACACACAGAGAGAAAGAGAGAGAGAGACATAGGTATATAAAACCCTATAACAATCACTAAAACAAAAGGAGAAAAAATAAGTGTAACCAATAAATAATTAGTGGAGATAACATGAAACAATAAAAATAATCCAAGAAGACATGGAAAGAGGAAAATTAGAACAAAGAACAGATATTACAAATTGAAAAAAAAGTAAAAAGAAATATTTGAACCCAAACATATCAATGATTATTTTAAATGTAATTGTTTTAAACACTCCAATAAAAAGACAAAGATTATCAGTTTGGATAACAAAGCCATACTGAATTGCATGCTGTTTACAAAATATATATGTAAAGACACATATAGAAAAAGCAAAAGGATGGGAAAAGATACACCATTAAAATAATAATGAAAAGGAAACTGTAGTGGCCATGTAAATATGATCCAAAGTATAATTCAAAACAAGAAATTTTACCAGGGAGTAAAATCAACTAATTGATATTTAAAGAACTTTCAACTTAACAACAGCAGAATGGACATTAGTTTCAAGTGGACATGAAACATTTAACAAGAGAAATTATAATTTGAGCCACAGAGCAAAATCAATAAATTTAAAAGAGTTGAAATTATAAAACATGTATTTTCTGACCATAATAGAACTAAACTATATATTAACATATATATCTTATATATATCACATATATTTATATATCAAATATATATATATAAAAACAGCAATATGTATGGGAAATTCTCAAGTAATTACAAAGTAAACACATTTCTATGTAGCCCATGTTTTAAAGAAAGCAAAGGCAAATTAAATTACACAACATTTTGAACTAAATAAAAATGCTAATGATATATCAAAGTTTGTGAAATACAGCTAAAACAATGTTTTGAAAGAAATTTATAGCATTAAATACTTATAAGAAAAGTCTCAAATAGTGATATTAGCTTCTAATATAATAAACTGGATAAAGAAGAAAATCTCAAAGCAAGTAGAAGAAAGTAAATAATAAATGTAAAGGCAAAAGTTAATTTAAAAAGAGAGAAAACTAAAGAAAAAGCAAATAAATGCAGATTTTTTTTAAATTTTGATGAAATTGTTATAACTTTAGGTAGATTGACCAATATCAGGAAGGATATATATAATATATGTAAATATTACATATATTTATTTATATATCCATTTTGCCATAAATATATCTAATTCACTGTTTGAATCACTGAAAGATTTATCATGGTATACATTTACTTATGTTTACTCACATTTTCTGGTGCTGTCACCCAAATTGTCTGTAACACCTGACCACCATAAACATTGTTGTAATTAACACATTCTCACATGGGTATGAGAATTGCTATGAAATATGTGTCTGAACATATTAGGACAGCATTGCAGAAAACTAATTTGCCCTCTCAACTGCACTTGCATGTCTTTAGTGCATATACGTATCTGAGAGGTTATAGAGACTTACGTGAGAAAATTAGGCTCTGCCCTAGGTGTCATCTCATGATCTTAGCTTCATAAGCTACCCGATACATTTTCAGAAATTATTTTTTTCATCTCTGATTGTTCTCGTCTGATTGGTCCATAGTCATTGCTTTTTAAATCATCTTCCTACCTTATATTCTCTGAAACTGGTCTTCCTCAGTAACGCTGTTTCACAGCAGTCTTTCAATTCCCTCTTTTAATTAATTAATTCATGTCTTCTCTTCTATCCCATTCAGGCTTGCTGGCTCTCTGAGAGACTGTCTCTTCTCAGATTTCAGTTTGATTTTAACATTTTTCTTATGTGCTCTGACCCACTCTTATTTCCAAACATAAAAAACAAAACCCAGGTAGATGCCCAGATTTTCAATAATCTGTTATCTTGAAAAACTCATACACTCAACTTCACCCTAACCTCATCTTCATCACAGCTGGAAAGATGAATTGAGTGATTAACATCTGTAGTTTGAATACATTTGAATGTGTGATTAGAAGTTGTGGGCTCAAGCTGTTTTTTTTTTTTTTTTATGAGCAGAACTAAAGACATTGCCTTTAAAAAAATTTGCAGTTACATAAACAATTAGATTATCTATAATACACCACTACATTTGTGACCATTCTTTAGTGCCTTTTTCAATAAAGTATTAAATTAATCATGGATTTTTCTCTCAGCTGCTTGATTTATATCCTGAATTTAAATTTCCTGCATTGCATTTCACAGGCATAAAATAATATTTTCTGCTTTTCTGTAGTTAAACACAAAGGAATAATTGTGATATTTATATTTACTATAAAATCTAAGTGATGTTTAAGAATTTTCATAAACAGGACACTATAGAACAGTTATTTTTATGATTTATGGAAAAGACAATTCCAGTGTATTAGATTACACCTTAATGAAGTGAATAATCCCTAACTTGCAAAAAGCACAGGAAAAGCAATCTAAGGAGTAGTTACTATGTGATGTACAAGAGACTAAGGAGTACGCAAACTGTAGAAAGTCCTAACTGATTGTTCAAAATGAGCATCCTAGGCACAGTTGTGTCTTATACACCTCCTCCCCACATCCTCAGAACCTTCCTGCACTCCAGCCATTGCTGTGGCAAGTAGTTGGAGTAATATGATAGCACTGTACCATAAAGGTAGTATCACTTGCCTCCACCTCAACCCTGGAGTCTCTCTGTTGCCACCTCATGGGATGTATTAAGAAACCTGTTCAGCCATCCTGATGCATACACAAACTTGAAAGTACTTACCAAAATGATAAAGCAAAACCATGAAGAGAGTGGAATAGTCCTTTGAAAGATAATATGTACAATATAACACTTAAAGACCCACAGGACTGTAAGGTTAATTGGATAATTTATTGTATTTCTTTGGCTTAAAACAATGCACAGATAGTTGAATTTTTTCTCAGACACTATTAAATCCCTAATGCCATTCAGCTCACTACATTTTATATATTTCCCAGGCAGCTGTCAAAAGGAAAAGAAAAAAAGTAAATCTAATTAGAAGAATGAAGTCCTATTAGTACTTTTCCAACAAGAACTTGCCTTCTCCTCTTAATGTGGACACATGAGGAAAAGCATTTACTTAATGTTTTTTAATTCACTGTACTATCAATGAAGCAAAAACCTCTTTTTATAGCACCAGAGATATCTTATTAACAGAAGTTATAATCTAACTCTTATTAACATTCCCACAACATTATATCCAGCAGATAAAACTTTCAGGCTCTTCTTTTTTAATATTTGCATAGTCCCCAAAGAGATTCATCAATTTCATTTATCCAAAGTAACAGGTACAGTTATTTGTATAAGTCAAACATAAATTTGTAAGCAGACTCCCCAACACATTCACACATAAGCTGATTATGTTCTTTAGTTTGCTAATGAATTTTGTCATTCACTCAGTAGATGTCAAGTAGCCATAAAGTTGATATCATGCATGTGGGCTTTGGTTTCTGGAAATAAGGGAGTTAAGCTAGCTACTTTGAAAGGTCTTTTGGCTACAATACGGCTACAATCTGGATAAAACGTATTTTGAAAGACATTGAGGTCAAGGTTAATAACAAATACGGAAAATCTCCAAAGAGTAAAAATTAAGCCCAAAGCACCACCACCACCACAACAAAACGATGAACTTTAATGAGAGAAAGTAGCTGTGAATGGTACATAATTGCCCTGGGAAATAATACCACTAGTGATGCTGCAATTCGAGCCAAGGCCTTGGGAATACCAGTGAAAGAGCTGGACCTAATACCAGTGGATTAAGATTGAAACACTGAGGAGGTTAAAGTAGCTTCAGATTAATAGCAGGTTCTGGGATCCAGCAGGAACAAATAAAATTCTCTTTGGAGGTTAACATCATTGAGTCAGACCCAGTTTTTTACAAACTAACTTCAACCAAGTATAGCTAATATATTTTAATCATAAAAACAGACCTAGCTGGGCGCGGTGGCTCATGCCTGTAATCCCAGCACTTTCCGAGGCCAAGGCTGGCAGATCACGAGGTCAGGAGATAGAGACCATCCTGGCTAACACAGTGAAAACCCATCTCTACTAAAAATACAAAATCAAAAATTAGCCGGTCGTGGTGGCGGGCGCCTGTAGTCCCAGCTACTTCGGAAGCTGAGGCAGGAGAAGGGCCTGAGCCCGGGAGGTGGAGCTTGTAGTGAGCCCAGATCACGCCACTGCTCTCCAGCCTGGGCGGCTGAGCGAGACTCCGTCTCAATAACAAACAAACAAACAAACAAACCTAGAAAACACAATATAACATGAGGTAGAGTAAGCAGAAACTAAAAAGGCAACAACTTTAGGCCTCTCAAAGACTTCAGATAATATAACTATCAGAAAAAATATAAAATAATGTAATATATTCAAGAGAAAAAGAAGAAAGTTTTTTTTTAAGTGAACAATGGAAAATAAACTATTACAATTACAAAACTTATCTGGAAAAGAATAAATGAAATTCTAGAACAACAATTTACAATTTACAATTAATTTGTAGGTAAGAAAGCAGCCAAAGGTTATAAAAGAATTGGAAGACAGATGTGGAGCAAGTACTCACGGCATAGTTTAGAGATAAAAGAAAATGGGAAATATGAAAGAATGTTAAAAGAACTAAGGGATAAACTAGAAGGTCTGCTTTCTACTTGTAATCTCAAGAGGGAATAGAAAAATTCAGTGTGGCTAATGGTTTGCATGCAAAGAAGAAAACTTTATGAAAAGATATTTACAACCTGGGCAACAAAGTTAAGACCCCATATATATAAAAAATAAAAATTAAAAAAATAGCCAAGCATATTGGCATGTGCCTGTAGTTCCAGCTACTCAAGAAGCTGAGGTGGGAGGATAGCTTGAGCACAGGAGTTTGGGGCTGCAGTGAATTATGATCATAACACTGCACTCCAGATTGAGCAGCAGAGCAAGACTCTGTCTCTAGAAGAAGAAAAAAAAAGAGAAAGATTTAAAAGGCTTAAATAAATGGAATGATATACCACATTCATAGACTAAAAGACTCCTTATTGTAAATATCTACCAAGCTGTTGTTTAAAATTTATATCGTGGTATAAATCACAGTAAAATGTTTGAACAATATTTTAGAGGAAATTTTGCATATGTATACCAGGAAAGACATAATGTTCGTAACAGTATTGTTCATAGAATTGAAAAAAACAGAAATGATGCATTGACTAGAATGTGGGTAAAGAAATTTTGCAATAATCACGGTGGTATATTATGAAAGAATGAGAAGAATAAATTGCAACTACATAAAACGACACGGATAAATGTGAGAAATATAATGAGGGAGAAATGCAATTCATAGTGGAAGACATAATTTTGATAATTCATAATGCTCAAAACCAAGAAAGCTAAGCAACATATTGTTTAACACTTAAATATATAGTAGTACTATTTAAAAAACTACAACAAACAAATGATAAGCACAAAATTAAGAGTAGTTTTTGTTCTGGTAGGGAAGTTAGAAATTAAATATGGGAAGAACAGATAATAGGTATTAATATTACTAGTATTTTAATAGTTTATAAGTTTGATAGTGAGGTCATAGTTAATATTTTAATTAACTTTTAAATTTACTTAAATGTTAGATGTATTGCTTAATATCTATCAAATATTATATAAAAAATATATCTTGCAATTTATACATAGCTCTAAGATTGCTTACTCAAACCTTATTTTTATTTTATGCAAAATTTCAAAAATGTATTTATCCGTAGTCCTAGGCCACAAAAATCAGAAGCAGCACATTGAAAGTTAGAAGAAAAAGTTTGGAAGTGGTGGATATAAACTGATATATATATATATACAGAGAATAGGTAATTTAAAAATCTATAAAAATTGGGCTCAAGAACCTTGAAAAATTATTGCCATTAGACATAGAAGTTACTTAATGTAGTAAGAAATAGGATAGCCCATTACCAGGTTTTAGAGCCATTGTGGAGTGTAATAATAGACTTTCCTTTGACAATCATGAGGCAACATACTCTCGAGCCTCTGTTAAGCTGCCAAAGCAGTATCCAGCACAATTCAGAAGAAATCCTAACTCAAGTTGTTCAAATAATTGTTGAGTATTCAGTGTCTGAGGGTGATGCCCCTTTTAGTCTACACAATCCTTTGTTAGAATAATCTTTCCTGCTTCACATTAAGGTCCCCTGCCTGGTTTCTAAAGGCATTTGAATTTTTAAAACCACACATTAGCAACCTTTACAAGGTTTGGTTTCAAGCTGTTGACCCTACTTTGTTGGCAAGAGCAAATAAAAGAAAACTCTCTGGGAAGTAGGATTTTCCAGGTGGATAGAGAGGATCTTACTCCATTTCTGTGTTGCTATAAAGGAATACCTGAGGCTGGGTAATTTATAAAGAAAAGGTATTTATTTGACTCACCATTCTGCAGGCTGTACGAGAAGCAAAGTGCCAGCATCTGCCTCTGATGAGGGCCTATGGCTGGTTCCACTCATGTCAGAAGGAAAAGGAAGCATCCTGGGTAGAGATCAAATAGTGAGAGAGGAAGGAAGAGATGGAGGGGGGATGTTCCAGGCTCTTTTAACCACCAGCTCTCTTGGGAACAAACAGAGTGAGAACTCACTCATTATTTGGAGAATGGCTCTAAGCCATTCAAGAGGAATCCTCTCTCATGACCCAAACACTTCCTGTTAGGCCCCACCTCCAACACTGGGGATCAAATTTTGATATGAGATTTGGAGGGGTCAAACACACCAAACTATAGCATAGGGAGAAAGGAGGGTATCCAAGGGAAAGAAAAAATAGTGTGAGTAAAAGCAAAGTTGTCATTTCTCATTCTTGATCCCTCAAGGTCCAAAGTGCTTATCATTTATTTGAGATACTGTCTGTCTGTTTCTCTTATAGCATCACATGAAACCTAGTACCCAGTCGTCTGGAAAAATGAACAAGTAGCTGAAGTATCTGTGGTATATTTTCCTCCCTTTTGGCACTATTCCTAGTTGCTGATCTTGCATTTTCCCTACCCCATCCTCTGCATCCTAAAACTTACCAAGTTTATTCTACACAAATCATCTGGAGCGGGGGGAGGTGAGGGGGGGCGTGGGGTGGGGGGCAACAAAATCAAATTTTTCCGTCCCTGAATTCCTTCACTATGCCAACTCAAAATTAAGTAATTCAACAATTAATGGTGACCAGTAAAATACATCCCTGTACCTTCCGTGCAATTAAACTCAGCTAGTAGTAAAAGGAGAGTAATTAAATTATTCAACTAAAGTCAACCACTCCGAGGAGGGAATGACCCATTTATCATAGAGCAATTCTCTCAAGGGGTTTCCACAACACTTTTGGTGGAGTATTTGGGAGAGATGTTTTTGAGTGCCCTTTTCGGCAACAATAGACAAAATTATAAAGTGTATCATTTTTAAAAATCTATTAATCTTGTATCACTTTTATATATGCTATAAATTATGTAAGAGTTATAAACAGTAGTTATAAGATGGCATATAATACACAATGTGCACACAAATTTAATATTTTCATGGAATAAAAATGTCTTAATGATTATGAGTCAGTAGATTATAGTCTCAGTTCATGTTTTGCCATTAGGTAGATGAGTGACCTCAGTTAATGAACTTGCTTGGCCTGGACTTCCTATTTGCTGCTCTTGTTTTCCATCAGAAACGCAGCACAATATTGTTTAAGGGGTAGACAAATACCAGAATTTGACTCTCTCTTCTACCAATAAGTTTATTTAATTAATGGTGAAGTCTCAGTTTCATCATTCCTACAATAGAAGTAATGTTAATAGTATCAAACTTAAATGATTCTTGAGATGGCTGAACTGACACCTGCAAAACGCTTAACATGATATCTACTTACGACATGGTAAGCACTCAAGAGAATTGTTTCTTTTTTAACTGAGAAGACATAAATAAATATGTACAATGAAAGACTTGTATATTTTTTAATCTCTGATTTTTTTTGTTTATTCTGTAATTATAATCTTGATTTTCCCTATTTTTCAAAATAGTTACATCTAATCGAAGTCACTCATATAAAATAGTTAATTGGATAAATGTCTTATGCAGCTGAAAACATGACACCAAAGTTAGTAAGATTTTAATTCTCATATTTTAAAATAAATATGTCTCTAGTACAAATCCCTTCAGATCTAGGCTGGTTTATTTTGAGCTAACTTACATCTCTAATGACTAGGATAAAATGCCTGTTATAAGATGGGAAGTATGAGTCTTCTTCCTAAAAATGCTTGAGTGATTAGAGCATAGAACTATGATACATAAGTGACAGCTTTAACATTTATTCAGTGGATGTTGCCTACTTGGGTCTTGAAAGAGTTTCTAGAATTTTGATGCTATGAAGAAACAATTGAAGTAATTTTACATAATTGATAATTTAACAAACATCCTTTTAGACCATAGGGGCTGCTTTATGTGGAAATGCTTAGCTTTCTTTTATATTTTCTAAGAGTTTTGTATAAATGTTACTTTGTTACAAGCGTGTATTTGGTTACTAAGAGAAATGATAACGCTCCTTATTTGCCCTGGGAAAAGGAACTGAGCCAAAAGTGTACTTCTGAAAAGGAAAGTTTTCTGCCAGCCATTAGAAATGTTCTACAAAGATTCCAAAGTTTCTGTAGTGACAGGATGATGTTCAGCAGGAACATTCTCTTGTTTGGGTTTGGAGAATGTAGTCAGGGATAATTCAGAGCAACTAAAATTATAGATGGATAAGAACCTTGGAAGGTGAAAACATATCTCATTCATTATATAAACAAAAGTGAAGGGTGTTGAGGTAAATGGGCTAGAATTTGTTGCAACCAAAATCTTCATAACTTTGCTAAAAAATCCAGTTCCTTCATGCAAATGTGTCTATCTACAGCTCCCCCTGCTCCTTTGGACTCTTTAACATTGACAAAATTTACATCCATACAATGGAATCAAAATAGGGTTCTGCACATTCTCTGAACACTGCTCAACATAATCCCATTTGGTTTGTGGATAGTCCATAAAGAAGTCAATATGTTTCTGTAATTTATAGAGATGTCAGCTCCACGAACTTTGTTGGAGCCTTGAGAGACAAGCTACATCTTTTTACTCTTTTAAAAGATGCATTGACCTCATGCAGGGAACACTTAAAGGAGTTTTTGTGTGTGATCAATACATTTCTATATTTATAAGCCTAATCAGAGCCTATCTGCTTTTCTGCTCAAGTACTGCTCAAAGAGAGAGTCACATAATCAAAATTACAAACTTTATTGCATTGATTTTTTTGTTCTACTTGTTACTCAGACCACAAAAATAATTAAATATTTTCTTTGTAATAACTACAGCCTGACACAAAATCATTTCTTTTGGAAATATTCCCCTAATGTCAAGACTATGGCATCTTTTACTCCCAGTCCTGCCATTTCTCATTCTAATTATTAGACTTTAACAGGTCCAAGACTTGTTTTAAATGCTCTAGTCTCAAAATTTAACAGCTGTCCCCCAGGCCATATATAGAAAGCCAGTCAGCTGCCTTGAACTGACCTCAGTGGCACAGTCACACAGAGCCAGATCTCCACTGTAGAGACTCCAGCCTCACATTATAAATACTGCAGTGTCATCTATAAATATGTGCATTTCACCACATTTCAGCTGCTTTTGTTTTGCTGAGGCAAGTGCCTGCTACCTTTATTCATGTAGCAGCAAGCAGCTTTCAGACTTAAACCATATTTATTTCATTTAAAGGTGGGGATAACAGAGCTAGTGAATGTTTAACTGACTCCATCAAAGTGTGGGAAGAGGGTTCAAGAAATTAAAATAAAGAGAACCAGCTTGGAGGAAATATATATAAAATAAAGAGAAATTGCATCTCACAATGAAGGCAGGCTGTATTTTAATTTGCTAATGTGGGAAGAAAATACACCTTTCTGCATTATATGGCTAACCATTTCACTTCCCACTGACTCATGCACATTTATTACATGGTTTGTAGAGGAGTACATGGGTGTATAAGCAGCTCATTTCTGCCTGCCACATCCAAGCCACTGTGTCTGCTGCCAGGTATTTTCTTCATTGTAGCAGCTTTTCCATTTAGGGGAATGAACAGGAGCTGAAGGCACTTAAATGCTTAGCATTTTCACTTTGCATTTGAATATACTCAGATTAATTTAGGCCATATTGTCTCAACAATAAACGTGCCCTTTTTGAGTTTTAGGCTTTCTCAGTTATGGGATTTCTGAATCACAGCCTGCAGTTTTAGCTAGCTCTCTTCAACTCTCCAAAGGCTAAAATCAGTCACCATTCCTTTACTCATGATCGAATCACCAGTCTGTAGAAAATCAACAGTAGATGTTGAAAATCATTATATCAGTTCTTATTTTTAATAGAAAAAATGAGTCATAAATGCATTATAACTTTACTTAAGCATCTTTGTCATTTTAGTGGAGACATATAAAACAGTAGTTTTTTCTACCTCAAAATTTGCAAAGATTTTCTGTGTATCTTTCCAAGTCAGCATTGACTGTATCTTATATTACACCAACATGTAAAATGCACATAAAATGTACTTGCTATTGTAAGTAAACTTATGAAGGGTGACCAAACTTATAAGCTAAAAACTAACTGTAAGGTTTCCAGATGTCAAAAAGTATCTTATTTGTTTTTCCTTAAAGATGTTTGTGGTTTGTGCTAAAATGTTCCAAAAATTCAGTCTTTGAGGACCAAGAAGAGTAAAACAAAATTAATTCAGGTAAGAGCACACTACAACAGTGAGTTTCCAGGAAATTTAGCTGAAACTGTGATCATAAAGACATGCCTAAATATAGCTAGCATAGACTTTGAAGGTTAATATAAAAACATTATTTTCTAAAAATAAGGAAAATATAATTTCAAAAAACTCTTTTTGTACAAAGCATTGCATTCAAACTATGGCATTGTTCGGACATGCATTTTAACAAAGAATGTGGTAACCTCTGAGATAACCAAAAGTCTGAATGGTCACTTAGGCCAAAATACATATTTATAATTTTTACTACTTTATCTTTAGTATCTACAACACTTGATAGGATTATATTAAGACAACTCCAGTATCTCCTAAGACAGTTCATTTCATACTGAGTTAGCTTTCACTGTGCAATATAATAACAATCTGGAATTTATCTTGGTAGTACAGTTATTGGTCTTAGGTGCCCATAGATTCTTTGTAGTCAAGTTTACCCCCCGTCATGTGAACAGACATAATATTTGCCCCAGCTTTGCATGTCCCTTAGGTTTTAAGAGAATTTTTTGCACTCAGAGAAATAGATCTGGGATTGGTATATAGAGTAGCAGAAGTTTAAGTTCTATGAATTAATGAGTTCTCAAAGATAGAGAATTGAATGAGAATGAAAAATATCATATTGTCACACTGTAGAATGTTATGTGGGGTATAACTAAATATCTTAGCATCATTTAACCATCCTGCATATAATACATTTTTACCTTAAGAATCCCAGGCCAGGCGCGGTGGCTCATGCCTGTAATCCCAGCACTTTGGGAGGCCCAGGCAGGTGGATCACTTGAGGTCATGGGCTCAAGACCAGCCTGGCCAACATGGCGAAACCCCATCTCTATCAAAAATACAAAAATTAGCCAGGCATGGTGGTGCAGGCCTGTAGTCCCAGCTACCTGGAAGGCTGAGGCAGGAGACTTACTTGAACTCTGGGGGCAGAGGTTGCAGTGAGCCGAAATCACGCCACTGAACTCCAGCCTGGGTGACAGAGCCAGAATCCATCTCAAAAAAAAAAAAAAAAAAAAAAAAAAAAAATCCCAAATATCTTTACTAGGCAAATTGTTTACATGCTTTTTCAACTTTTAGTGCCATTATAACTTGGTGTGTCTACTGCTGAAATGTATAGATATATCCAGAAATAAAGCATGTCCCATGTCCACAGCTCTCTTTCAATTCCAGTATGTAATTAATGGTTATATTTCACTTAATCGTATCACTTTTTTTTATTTGGCCTCTCCTATATTAGAAGGTGCTACTTTAAGCTGCTATAACATGAGAACAAGAACTAGAGCAGCTGACATACAATCAAAGTACATTAAGTCCTCACTAAACATCAATACGTTCTTGGAAGCTGTGACTGTAAGCAAAACCATATATAACAAAACCAATTTTACCATAAGCTAGTTGATACAAACAAGGGTCAAATTCCAATGGCATATTTCTGGACACAATGCATCATTGAACTTCTAAGAAAAAAAAAAAGACCAAAACACTTCTAATCTTAAACATTAAAATAAATATGAGCTATTCATATTTTTGAGAAAGAGTAATAAGTAAGATAATTATTTACCCAATTATTCCAGTTAAGGGTCATGGGTGACTAGATCCTATCCTAGAAGCTCAGGTGCAAGGTGGGGACCTTGACCATCTGGGACAGGATGCTATACCTTCACAGGGTGCACTCACATACCCACACACATTCAGTCACACTGCGACAATTGAGACACACCAATTCACCCTAATGTGCACATCTTTGGAGTGTGGAAGAAAACCAGAGTACCTAGAGAAAACCCACACAGACATGGGGAGAATGAGCAAACTCCACAGAGAGAGTTGGCCCAGGCAGGATTCTTTTTATTTGTTTTCTTACCAACATAATGACGAAGGAACTTTGAATGAAACGATGTTATTGGAAGACCTGCAGTGGCTCTCTGTTTTACATTAACCATCTGGCCAGTCCAGGCTGAAAGGACAGCTCTGCTTCATGTCATTCAGGGACCTAGGTTTCATCTACCTTGTCACTCTGTCATAACTTATAGTACATTGTCCTCAACCACGAGTTTTAATGTGGCTCACCAACACCACATCTACATGCCAAGCACAGGATGGGTGAAGAAAAAATGAAGTTAGATTGCAAGCTACATGACTTTAATTGGCATGGCTCAGAAATTGGACACATTAGTTTTATTCACATACATTGGTCAGTAGTTCATACCATGTGCACATCTAACTGTGAAGTCGGCTAGGAAAGTAGTTTTTCTCCAGTATGTTTATGTAGTCAGTTAAAGCTGACGGTATGGGTGGGGAAGCAAAAGGAGCTATGGAGCTATATTATATGAATTAAAAAGAGAATAACTATTCATGAGGAAGAGTTAGGAAATGCTTCCATATTTCCCTTGGAATATTTAGATTAATTCCAACTTATTTTACTGTTAATATTCATCCTAAAACCAAATATTATGTTATTTTTATTAAAGCACTGATTATATGCAAACCAAAATAGAAAAATTGAGGCAATTATAAGTAAAGAAAACTTTTGTTTTGAACAAAGAAAAATTTTCATCCTGAAATAAAATTCTTATATTTAAATGTTTGTGTACTTTAATAATTTCTTAATTATTTCCTTAAAACAAAAATCTCAGAAGTGTAATTGCTATGTCAAAGAGAATATAATCTTAAGGCTTTTGATATATATTACTAAAATATCCTCCAAAACTCTGTACTAATTTATACTCCAATAGAAAATGCACTAGGATGTGTTTCTTTCAATCTTTTTGTAAAGAGCTTTATTGAGGAGTAATTTATATACCATAAAAGTCACACATTGACGTTTATATTTCAATGACTTTTAGTAGATTTACACAGTTGTGTAAGCATCATTGTAACATTAAAACATTTCCATCACCCTATAAAATTGCCTCTTGTCCGTTTGCAGTCAGTCCCTACTCTCATTTCTTAGGCCTAGGCAAGCATTGCTCTCTGTCTCTTAGAGATTTGTCCCTTTCAGAAATTTTATATAAATGAAATCATCCAATACATAGTCTTTTGTGTCTGGTTTCTTTCACTATTTTATAATGCTTTTGAGGTATATTCATATCCGTAGTCTGTTCATTATTATGTCTAAATTACACTCCATCGTATAAATACGATGCATTTTGTTTACCATTTCAGCAGTCGATGGATATTTGGATTGTTACCCAGTTTTTTGCAATTATAAATAATACCACTATAAAAATGTTTAAGTCTTTGCATGGACATAGATTTTTAATGTTTCCCTAAATGTTGCTAGAACCTTCTTAATACATCAATTTTAAATGTGAGAATACACATGTGTATATATATGTATACATGCATTCACTTGTTATATGAAAAAAAAAACAATTTCAATAATGCTAAGAGTAGCAAAGTTTTTCCAGAAAAGGTATTAATTTAAAGTGACAGCTCACATTCCAAAGCCATTTCTATCCCATAAATTTTTCCTGATTATATTCTGCTAGGAAGACAGATGCTCTATTTTTTGGATTAAGATATATTCTTTCCTAAATTTTTGGCACACACTACATTATTCAACAACATATTGGAAAATATTGCGTTCTGATTTGAATGTGCTAAATGCATTTTCTTTTTATATTAGAAATTCATATATCTACTCAACAAATGTTTATTGACAACCTGCAATAATGTACCAAGCACTGTTTTTGAAACTAAGGGAAAAAAGTAGAATGGAATATTGCCTTTGCCTTTGCCTTTGTGGAGCTTTGCAAACTACAGAGGCAAACCCAGTGTAATGTTGTATGAGTAGGTACTACGTAATCTACAGAACAACAAATTCAACTGGCTGCCAGAAGAAGGAATATCCAAGCTAAAACCTGAAGGATAGGATGAGTTATCTAAGAAAAAAAGATGAGAAAAATCAGTCAAACAAGAGACAGTAACATATGCAAAGGGCTTATGTCAATAGAACCTGGTCTCTTTGGGAAACTATAGATAATTTTTATGGCCTAAGCAAAGCTTCTGAAAGGAAAAACCAGAAAGATGTGGAAAAGCAAGAAGGGACAAAATTACAAAATGATTCATAGCCACATTAAAGACTCGCAAGTCAAAACTACTTATGCTAAAGTTTCCTTTGTAATTTCTATTCATATTATCAGGCTCGGTTAAAACAATTCCCCTAAGGAAACAATTTCTGGGTCTTTAAACCATGAGGGCACAAGATATATGATTTCATTGCTTCAACAGCACCCTAAAATCCTCAGTTAGGATCTAAAAGAGAGAGAAATACTAGATCTGTCTACTCTAGTAGAATATAAGCTCTTTAAGACAGAATATTGAAAGTGTTTCATTTACCATTCACTATTTCATCACACTATAACTTTCATATAAAATGTTCCCAATAAATACATGCTAAGTAAAAGAAGAAAGGAATTTGTTCTTTATTATATAGATATTGAATAGGCCCAGATGAGTTTTAAGCATATTTGTAACTTGATGAGGTCACTGTATTGTGGAGAATAGCCTAAAGAAAGAAGGCAACCTGGACATAACAGAAGAAGATAATATTATGGACTACTTACTCAGAGCTGGACCATGTCCTAAGCACATCATGTATTTTATACCTCTTAATTGTCATAACTTTGTGAAGTAGATCTTATCAGTATTTTATGTAAATCAGAAACTGAGGCTCAGATTAGATAAGAAATTGCCCAAGATCACACAAATTGTGTATGTGGTAGAAACAGGATTCAAAAACTGAATTTTTCATCCTAAATATTATATTCCTGATTACTATGCTCTACTGCCTGTAATAAGTCAGGTAAATAGTAAAGTTGACCTGAATTAAAACAGTTTTCCTTTAGGAGTAGGAGAGGAATAGATAGAAGAAAGTTCCAGACAAAGAGAAAATCAGCTGAAAAAAAAATTATATATATATATTGCTGCACTAGTAGAGAGGAGCATGGTAGACTCAAGATTCAGAAAACTAAACTGGGTACCTTGGGAGCCCACAAAGTGTCACAAGGACTATAGTAAGATCAGGATGGCAAGATAAAGAAAAGCCAGAATGTGTGGTCTCCTTCTACAAGCCATGATCAGGAGCTTGGCCCTCATCTGAAAAGCATTGGGAACCTATTGAAGGGTTTTAGTAAGACTGTATAACAATCAAATGTGTAGTTGAACAAGAACATTATGAATTCAGTTGGACACTAACAATGAAAGTTGAAGAATGAATTTGCGGAGACTGGGGAAAATTGTCACAACTGGAGATATGCAGATTTATTAGGAAGTTATTCCAATTACCAAAGAAAATATTGTTGACCTTCTGCACAACAATGACAGTGATGTAGGTCAAAAGAAGAGAATATATCTGGAATTTGTTAGAAGAAATATTTAGCTGCTAAAGGTCATGAAGTTATGGCTCTGAAGAGCAAAAAAGAAATACACTTGGATAACAGATAATGCCTATCTCAAAGTAAAGAACCATTTCTGTTTTTTTCTTAAAGAAAAGAGGAGAAGCTTTGATACAGATACAAGTAAATAAGGATATTGTGGCAGAAAATTTAAATTTGTGGATTTTATTTAGTCCATGAAAGAGAGGGTTAGGTCATCTGCTGATAAGAAAGGGCAGATAAAGTTCATCACAAATCAGAAAGGTCAAGAACAGAGGGAGAATTTTCTCACAACATATTGTTTAATATATACCTAACCAATTTTATGGCAATGAGGTAAGAAAAAAACAAACTATCCTAAAGAGTAAGCCATTCAATATGCCATTCCTAGAGGAAGATTCAGTATCACAACTCTATCAATGCTTCTACTAAATTTAAATTAATAAAACCACAATAAAAATACCAACAGGACTTTGAATTAAGATCCAGATAAAAAAGATCCAAAGTCATGTGGGAAAATAAAGATCCAAAACCAGGAGAAAATATTTTATTAGATTACAAAACATATTATAAAATAGTATGAAATAAATCAATAACAGAGAAATATAAATAGAACAAAGAGTATAGACGGTCTTAAATATGTATAAATACATATATTAATATATGTGTGTAAATTTATTACATGATAAAGTAATTCTGAAAATAAATAGTGAAAATTGATTTTCAATCAATGATTTTAAAATAGTTGTGTGATCAATCGTCATTTCGGAAAAAAATATATTGGACCACTATATTACCTACACTGAAAAAAATTCAAAATGGATGACAAATATAAACGTATACCAAAATTATATTGGACTAAAAACAAAAAAAATTATTAGAAAATGTATGATTTTCTAAGTATGAAAAAAAAACCCAAACCATAAAAGCCTAACATATTAGACCACATTAAATTTAAAAATGTCTGAATGGCTAAATCAAACCATAAACTATGTCCAAAGAAAAACAGAAAAAACTAAGAAAAAATATTGTCACATCATTACAGATAAAGGCTCATTTCCTTAATACACAAAAAGCTCTATCAATATAATAGCTCAAAAAATGTGCACTGTAGAAAAATAAACAACATTGAACACAGTTACACTTAAAAAGAAAATACAAATAGTTCTTAAATATATGAAAAGGTGCTTAATCTCACCCATGCAAATCAGAAAAGAAATGCTACAAAAGGTATAATTATACTACATTTTTATCTATTAGATGGTGTAGGATATTTGTAGGAAAAAGAGAATTGTAATCTATTATTGGTGGAAATATAATTCAGTACAACTTCAATAGAAATTTGGCAATGTCAATATATTAAGTGTACACCTTCTACCCCTAGGTTTAATCCTAAAAGTATATTGTTGTGTGCAAATACATATACATGTGCACTTTTACAAACATATAATATGTTCATTGTGGAATTTTTGTGATAGTAAATCATTGGAAAGAAGCCAATTGACCATCATCAGATTACTGGCTAAATAAATGATGGCATATTTTCAAAGTAAAATACTAAAAGGCTACCTTAAAAAAGAGAGAGAGCTGGGCACAGCGGCTCATGACTGTAATCTTGTTGCCTTGGGAGGCTGAAGTGAGAGGATCACTTGAGACCAGGAGTGTGACACCTCAGTGAGCTATGATTGTGCCACTACACTCTAGCCTGGGCAACACAGCACAACCCCTTGTCTCTAAAATAAATAAAGACAGATACAGAAAAAGCTCCAAGTAGTTTTTAAGTGAAATTTTATTTTGTGTGTATTGTATTTCCACTTGTGTAAAGATTTTTTTAATCTATCATTTGTCTGTACATCCATTTATTTATCATAATCTTTGTAAATGAATGGACAATTTCTGGAAGAGAACACAAGAAACTTAAAGATGTTTACTTCCAGAGGAGAAAATGAATGCTTAGAAGATACAGGTGGAAGCTAGAGTTTCTTTTCCTCATAAACTTAATTCTATTTTTAAAGAACATTTTGCCAACATTCAAATTGGATTTTCCTCTCTAGATGATTTTTAAAATTAAGTAAATCCCAACTCAAATACATGAAACGTTAAAATATTTGGCAGAGAAACTTTTGCACTTGGCATGATATTTGGCTTCCAATGAGGCATTATAAGTTAAGGTATTGAGCACAGACTTTTGAATATTGTTATTTTGGTCAAGATCCCTGCAGAAAACAGATGGTGCAATAAAGTTAGTAAAATTTAAGACGTATCTAATAAAGACACTTTTTTCAAAAGTGTTGGCAAGGTGTTGGGAAACCATGGGGGACAGTGCAATATTCTATAGCTAGATATAGCGGGGCTAAGACACCTCCCTTAGGTTTATAAAGACAAGAGGAGAAAGTGTTATCAGGAAATGGAAATAAGAGGACTGTCACAGAAGCTGAAGCCATGTAACAAGAAGCCAAACTACAGCAACCCTGCAGGAAGAGAGCTGGGAGAATAATACTTTGATGTTCTCCCTCCTCCTGAACGCTTGCTGGTACCCCCCACTGACTAACAGAGGACAAAGGAATTCACTAACAGAGGACAAAGTCAGTCTCTCATGGCACCAAGAAAGATGGAGGGAGATAGAGAGCAGATCTGTAGGCCTTAATGGATAATAATCTGCACAAAAGTAAAACCGGTTTTAATTCTAAGCCCTACAGGTCATCCATTTTGTGAGATTTAGTTAGTCAATTTTCTAACACTTAGATATTGTATGTGCCATCACTTAGGGTCCAATCAAGAGACAGAAACTTCATCAGTAATATGAACAAAGGAATTTTATATTTAAAAAATTTTTATATATAAAGAATTGTAAGCTAGTTAAAATGCAGGTAACTACTAAACTACTAAACCAAGTGAGGGTTTAGTATAGTAGTAGCAAAAGCAAAGCTACTACATCAAAAGTTGATGGAGAGTAAGCAATGAAGAAAGTAAAATGTTAACAAGAGCCTCTATCCCCAAAACTGAGATTCGAACATCTTTTGAGAGGGTGTGGCTGTCACAAGAATAAGCAGCCTCCGACTGCAAAGAAACTATCCAGAAGGTATGAGCAAGAGATGGTTCATGAGAGAAGATATCTGCTGACTCTGCACCAAAGAAGCCACACACTGAAGCAGTACCCTCTATTGACAGAGCCTAACATTGAGCCAGCTGAAAAAAGAAATCTACTGGGGCCAGCAACAGTATCAAAAGTATGACAGATAAGGTGGATTTAAACTTGAGAGGCAATAAATTGGTAACTGGCATTTGTAAAATGGGCATAACAAAAATAATTTTAATTGTTGTCATTTAATAAACAATTACTAAGAAGCAGACACTTTCCTAAGAGTTTCATAATCATTATTGCACTATTTCTCACTAAAACCATATAATGTATTTACTATTATTATACACATTTTATAGATGAAGAAAATAAGGAATTTTTTTTGAGGCAGCGTCTTGCTCTGTTGCCCAGGCTGGAATGCAGTGGCACAATCGCGCTCACTGCAACCTCCACCTCCTGGGTTCAAGTGATTCTCCTGACACAACCATCTGAGTAGCTGGGATTACAGGCGCCCTCTACCACGCTCAGCTAATTGTATTTTTAGTAGAAACGGGGTTTCGCCATGTTGGCCAGGCTGGTCTTGAACTCCTGACCTGAGGTGATCTGCCTGCCTCTGCCTCCCAAAGTAATAAGAATACAGGCATGAGCCACCATGCCCAGCTGAGAATAAGAAAAAAAATATTAATACCACAGTTATATTGCTTTGCAAAAGTTCAGATATTATATCTAAATTGCATAGAAACCCGGCTAGTATATACATTATGATCAATAAATGGGAAGGTAGTAGGAGGGACAAGAAAGAGAGGGAGAGATTACACTATTCAATTTCGTATTTGTATGATGCACTTTAAACGTTTTTAAAAATGTATTTGTAAATTTGCATTAATTATATCTGTCCAAAAGAGACAAAACAAGACTAATTCTTTATATAGGACCCACAGGTTATTAGAGACCAAGGTGATTTGATACAATAGAGACCAAAAGGCAATGAAACAGTATATTTAAAGAACTAAATAAACAAATTAAAAAGTCAAACTCCATAGTCAATAAACTGTCTTTCAAAATTGAAGCTAATACCTCACTGTACATATAGCAAAATTTGATAACACCAAAGAGGGAGACCAATCCACAATCACACTGGAAATTTCAAAAACAGACAGAATATAGAGATATTTATTATTTGAACCACAAAATTAATCACCTTGGCCTAACTGACTTTCATCAAATGCAGCATCCAACAACTACAGAATACATATTCTTCTCAAGTGTGCATGAAATGTTCACCAAGTTATACCACATGCTAGGCCATAAAAATAAACGTTAATACATTTTAAATGACTGAAATATTACTATCATTAGACCAAAACATAATTCAATGAGAAACCAATAATAAAAAGTTATTAGAAATATCCCAAATATTTAGAATTTGAATAGTACTTCTTTAAAAAGCTCATGACTCAAACAAAAATTTAATGGCAAATTAGAAAATATTTCAAACTGAATAATTATAAAAATACAGGTATCACATGATAGAGAATGCAGCTAAAACAGTGCTTAGAAGCTTAGAATAAAAAATATTTTAAAAAAGCCTAAGTTTTCTCTGAATAAGCAAGGAAAATAGAACAAATTAATCTCAAAGTAAATATAAAGTAATAATTAAAAGATCAAAAAGCAATAAAAGTAAAATGCATACTAGAAAGATTATTAACAAAGCTAAAAATTCTTTTAAATAATTGATAAAATTAACAGGCTACTAACAAGATTTAACACACACACAAAAGAAAAAAGACAAATTCCCAAATACAAGTATTGAAGGGTGCAAGTTAGTTGGATCATATTCATTAATAAAGAGTATTATGCATAATTTATACTGATAAATTTGACAGAGTATATGAAGTACAGAAGTCTTTAAAAAATACAATTAATAAAAACTGATCAGAAAAAAATAACACAAAACCATGATAGATATCAATCTGAAATCAAATTTTTTTGTTGATAATTCTTAAACTGGTTCCACAGTCTTACACTAACTTTTTCAGGAAATATAAGATGAATAACAGTTTCTAGGTCATTTTTTAATTGTAGTTTAAACTAAGTTCAGATCCTGCAAAGGACATTATTCATGAACATTGACACAGAAATTTCTAACCAAATATTAACACGAGAGATGACATCTGCTGGCTCCAAATTGAATTTTATGTATTGAATCCAACAATACATAAAAGACATAATACATCATTAACAAGTGAGTTCTATCTCAAGGGTGCAAGGTTGGTTCATTATTCAACAATATAATTCAATCAATATAATTTACTGTTTTTATGTATATGTTTTATATATCCATACCTTAGGTCAATTGTTCATGCAGAAATAGCCTATAAAATTATAATAATAAGAAGAAACAAACACAATAACCTAAAACAGAAAATGTTGGAGAAGGGGGAAAATCTGATTTCAGAAGTTATCACATTATTACATTCGAATGTTTTTTTAAAATAAAAAAAGAAGGCATACAAAGAAACAGGAAGGTATCACAATTTCAAATAATAATTATCAACAGAACTCTCCCTGAGAAAGACCTAATGGCAGAACTACTAGACAAAGACTTTAAACCACCTATCTTAAAGATGCTCAAAGAACTAAGAAAAGATGTGAAGGAAGTCCAACAACAGTAAAAATATTAACAACAAAAAAAATTTCAAAGAGAAGCAAACAAAAAATTATAGACCTGAAAAGTACAACGTGACATAACAAATTCACTAGGTGAATTCAAAGGCATATTTGAGTGGACAGAGAAAATGATCAGCAAACAATAATAGGAAAATGCAAATTACTGAGTCTGAGGAACAGAGAGAAAAATATTTGAAGAAAAGTGAATAGTACCAGAGGGACCAATGGAATACCATCAAGTGGACTAACATGCATACTATGTGAATCCCCAAAAGAGAAGAGATAGAGAAAGAGGAAGAGACAGTATCTGAAGAATTAAAACTTCTAAGTTTGATGAAATACATAAATACAAACATCCAAGAAGCTCAAGGAACTCCAAGTAAGATGAACTCAAATAGATCCATACCAAGACACATTATAAGCACATTTTTCAAAACCAAAGACAAAAAGAATATATAGGAATCAGCAAGAGGGAAGTAACTCATTACATACAAGTGATCTTCAATTGGATTGTCTGCAAATTTTTCATCAGAGTCTTTGGAGACTAGAAGGTAGTGAACTAATATATTCAAAGTGCTAAAAGAAAAAAAAAAACTGTGAACTAAGAATCTTATATCCAACAAAAGTGTTCTTCAAAAGTGAGAGAGAAATTAAGATATTCCAAGATAAACAAAAGCTCAGAGTGTTTATTACCAGTAGACTTTCTCTGCAAGAAATACTCAAAGGATTCCTCCAAGGAAAAATTAAGGACACTAAATAGAAACATGAGGCAAAATAAAGAAATATTTTGTTACAGTTAAATACAAGAGCAATTACAGAAGCAAATTAGATAACCTAGAAAAAATGTGCAAATTCCTGGAAATACAAAGCCTGCTAAGACTAAGTCATAAAGAAAAATAATGTCTGGTCAGGTGCAGTGGCTCATACTTGTAATCCCAGCAATTTGGAAAGCCAAGGCAGGAGAATCCCTTCAGCTCAGGAGATTGAGACCATCCTCGGCAGCATAGGGATATCCTGTCTCTACAAAAAATTTAAAAAATTAGCCAGGCATGGGTGGTATATACCTATTGTTCCAGCTTTGTGGGAGGCTGAGGTGGGAGAATCACTTGAGCCTACATGTCAAGGCTGCTGTGAGCTGTGATTGGGCATTGCACTTCAGACTGGGTGACAAAGCAAGATCCTGTCTCAAAGAAAAAAAAATACAATAGACTCTAACTAACAAGGAGATTAAAACAGTAATCAAAAATCTCCTGACAAAAAGATAAAAAAGCAGGAATTAACCAATGAGGTAAAAGACTTGTACAATGAAAACTATAAAAGTTGTTGAAAGAAATTTATATAAAATCTTCCAAAATTGATATAAAATCTTAAGAAACCTCAGATAGCCCAAGCAATTTTATAAAAGAATAAAGCTAGAGGACTCACACTTCCTGATTTGAAACTTACTATTATACAAAGCTCACTTAATTAAAGCAGTGTGCTACTGGCATAAAGACAAACATATAGACCAATGAAATACTATAGAAAGTTTATATATAAGCCTTCATATATACAATCCAATAATTTTTGACAAGGTACCAAGACCTTTCAATGGGGAAAGGACAGTCTTTTCTAGAAACAGTAGTGGGAAAACTGTATATCCACATGCAAAATTACAAAGTTGGACTATTACCTAACACCAAATACAAAAAAGTTAACTGAAAATGGATCAAAGACCTAAATGTAAAATCTAAAATTATAAAACTGTTAGCTTTAAACAAAAAATAAAATCTTCATGCCATTGGATTTGGCAGTTATTTCTTAGACATAACACCAAAGGCTCAGATGACAAAAGATAAAAGTAGACAAATTGAACTTCATAAAAATTATAAAAGTTTGCACATCAAAAGATACTACTTTCCCAGAGTAAAACAGCAACCTACAGAGTGGGAGAAAATATCTGCATATTACATATATGATAATGGAACAATATCTAAAATGTATACAGAACTCAACAACAACAACAACAAAAAAAAAAAACCCAATTCAAATCCAGGCAAAGGACTTGAATACAAAACTAATGAACAAAGCATATAAAAAGATGGTAAATATCGCTAAGCATTAAAGAAATGCAAATGAAAACTATACTGCAATACCACCTCATGCCCATTAGAATGACTATCACTAAAAAAAAAAAAAAACAGAAAATAACAAGTGCTGGTCAGGATGTGGAAAAATTGCAACCCTCGTACACTGTTGGTTGTAATGTAAAATGGTACAATCGCTGTGGAAAACATTACAGCAGTTCCTCAAAAAATCAAAAATAGAATTATCACACCATCCAGCAATTCCATTTCTTGATATATATCCCAAAATTGAAAGTGAGGTGCCGGACAGATACTTGCATATTTATGTTCATAGCAGCATTATTCACAATAGGTAAAATGTGAAAGTAACGCAAGTGTACATATACAGATAAATAAATAACCAAAATGTGGCATATACATGCAATAAAATATTTTTCAGCCCTAATAAGGATGGAAATTCTGATCTATATTAAAACATGGATGAGCCTTGAGAATATTATGCTAAGTCACAAAAAGACAAATAATACATTATTTCAGTTATATAAGGTACCTGGAATAGTCCAAATAATTGGGATAGAAAGTAGAAAGTTACTTTTCAGGGCCTGGGTAGAGGTAGAAACAGAAAGTTATAATTTAATGCATATAAAGTTTGTTTTACAAGATTAAAGAGTTCTGGAGATGGATGGTGCTGATGGTTGTGCTGCATTATGAATGTGTTTAGTACCACTAAATTGTATACTTTATATGGTTAAGATGGTAAATTTTATATTATATGTATATTATCACAATAAAAAACTGCAAAAACAAGTAAAAACCAAACAAAAAAACCCTTTCCTCAAGTAAATGGCAATTCTCATTAGTACCCTGTACATTTGATCTGCCATTGAATCACAATGGCATTCTAAAAGTTTTGCAATAGTTTCTTGTTAATAGGTCATTTTATTCCAAATTGTTTTTGCTTTGTGACTTATTGCTGCTGTAATATTTGATAGTTTTATGATTCATATGTTTGCTATCACACTTTTCTCAATGAAATGTGATTTTATATCATATGAAATATTTTTCTTTCATGTACAGTATGTGATACCAACATTACTCTCCCTGGTTTTCTTATCTTCCTATTTATCTGATATATCTTCATCACAAAATGAAGTTTTAACATAAATAAGTTCATTCTAAAATGCTTTCCTATGTTATTAGAGAATTCTTCTCATTCAAATTTATTGTCATATTGCTATAATGGGTATTTTTCTTATTTTATGATTTTAAAAAATATTTGATTTTTTCTTCCTAAATGTTTTGAAGAAAAACATGGCTATTTTGAAATTTGTATGGTGAATAATTTATTTCTGTTCTTCAAAATTATTTGTTTTAGGTTCACTAAATTATTAAAGTCATGATCAAAACGTTTGATAACATTTCTAGAGCAATGAGTTGATCTTTTGCCATAGACTTTTTTCACAGTACAATGAAAAGCATGCATGGCCTTCACCTGTTTAGGTGAGATTGGTTGGTAACAGCAAACGTAAGCCAAGGCAGGTTAAAAGCTCTTTTAGAACCCAATTAATAACTATATATCAAAAACTACAAAGAGTTGCTATACACTTTGTGACTACAGGACAAAACTATTTCACTCATATTGGGCCCAGAAAGGAGGTTTAAAAAATGACAAATATCTATACTTGTATTTAATACATGTTCTCCTCACTTGTCATCTAGCATGACTTTACATCCTAAGACAAAAAAATGTAATTAGAAACAATTTAATATTTGTTAATGAAACACATAGTCAAAACTGGTGCAACCAGTTATTTTCATTTAGCTTCAATCACCGTGATGTATTTGCCTCAAGGGGTAATTAAAAAAAAAATCCTTTGAGTGAGTTATCTGTAAAGTTATCATAAGTATTGTTTACAGAAAGCAGTGACTTTAATAGTCATTTAAGGCTTGACGATCAATGAAGTCCATAAAGCCAAAGATAAACAGGTTAATTAGAAAATAAAAATGTTTTTTTCTTGACCATTTTAAGAATAGTCTTGAAATTATTTATCAGGTCATAATTGAGTTGATAATGTGCAAATTCATGTGGTTTTCTTATTCGTTAGAGTTGATGGGTTTGGAGTAGAAATGAGGAGTTGCTTGCAATAATAGAATCAGAATATATTGTGATTGGAAGACACACTAAGTTCTTTAGTCCAAATATCCTCAAGGGGCTTACTCCATATGAGAATATCATGTACTTCACCAAAGGTCAAAAGATAATGGGCATTTTTTAAAAAATCTTTCTTATAAACATGCACTCCCCTGCTTGATCTCGATATTGAGAGTTCTTAATTTATTCTTAAAGGCTATGCTCATTAGATTTTTGAGTTTTAAAAGGACAACAATAAACTTGGAGGTTTGGATATCTGATTATCTGTTTATGTGATTTTAATTAGCCATGGACTCCAGCCTAAATATTTATTAGTTTTCTAACCTTTTGTTGGATTGCTACCATTAAACATCCTCTGACTGTTGTAATGATGTAAAGATAATATGGGCTGACTGAATGGTTTTCCAGGATGTTTATTTTAGGATGTGAAGGTTAATCTCCACTTGCTGTTCAGATAAAATTTCTCTCTATAATTAAAATCAGCATATGCCCCCACATAAATCAAGAGAGGTTTGTTTTAATAAAATTAAATTGAATTTGAGAATTTTTTCCTCAATGATAACAATTAGCAACAAGCGAAATGAACATTTAAACGAAATACCTGAGCAAATCTAAATAATATGTAAGTGAAGCTATGAGCTAGATTGTTCACTGTTGCAAATATTTTGAAAATTTAAAGAAAAATAGACACTAAGAAATAAGTAATTTTCAATCTAATAGGTACTACTTTTTGGCTTAAGCATCTAAGTTAGGAAAGTGGAACTTAAACCACACTAAATTATGTACTAATCAATGAACAGATTTGTTACATTTTTTTCCTTTTTATTCATTCATGCTGTGCCATAAATGCAGTATCATAGACACTGATTAAAAGCATTTTATAAAATGACTTCATGCATGGCATTTATGTGAATTCGAAATGAGAGAAAGTAGTTTCAAAGCGTGTTACTCATTTAACTCTATATTTCAGAACCTATTTTCACAGATGTTTGAAGAAATAGCACATGTGCTGGATTTAATTGTAGATAGCTTATTTGGAGAACCAGAAATGCACAACTGTCTTTCATGAGTTTCTAGAGAAATTCTAGAGAATTCAGGTGAAGCTCAGCCAGATTGCCTGCCTGTTCTCTTCGTAAATGGAGCTGTAAGTGGTATGCCTGCCATTAAGCGACCTCGCCTTAATCCTCCTGCTAGACCCCTAGAACATTTGACTTGCTGAATTTTAATAGTCAGACAATCTGTTTGGATTGTAATTTGATAATGTTTTTTTGATTAGCTAAAATTGTGCATTTAAACATTCACATCATATTTTCTGAATAAAAATTAGCATGTAAATAAATAAGTTGCCATTTTCATAATTATTATGACTTATGAGCAAAATATTGAGACCGTGCTACTTCATAAATGATAATTTTAAGACAGTGGAATAGGTGTTTATTTATGAATTTTAGAACAATGATCATGAATGAAAGATTCTCACCTCTAGGGGATTTTATGAATTAATGTACATGAAAGCATTTCATCTACTATATGCTTTATTGCTATTACAATGATTTGAGGATTTGAAGCACTGTCTGTATTTTATAAAATGTATTTTCTGCATCATTTCTTTTAGGAATCAAAAAAGGCAACAAACCCATACTCTAACTAGAAATGAAGAGGGATAAACAAACCTATTTAAAATACCATTATATGTTATTTTTAAAATGTTGTCCTAGTTCCATGCTCCACTGAAACAGCTCTTACTAAAGTCAACAGTAATCTCATTTGTACTAAATATAACAGTCCTTATTTTACCTGAATTTGCAGCGCCATCTAACATTATTGACCAATTTTTATAATACTCTCTTTTCTTGGCTTTTATTAGGCAATACTCCCTGATTTTGCTTCTACATCCCTTCTCTATCACTCCTTTTAAATTGCAAGCACTTTGTTTACATAGAAAAACATTTTAAGTTTTAACTCTAAAGCCTCTTCTTCTGTTGTCATTCTTTCTTCTTCCACCATCTCATTTATAAACACTATATTACACCATATACAAAAAATTTACAAGTGTATATCCAAGTCCAGATTTCTACTTTGAGTTTCAGACTTCTCTATCTAATTAGCATCTTGACATCTACTTGATGTCTCAAAGGTGACTCAAAGTCAACGTGTCCAAAAATACACTTACCTCTTCATTCAAAACTGGTTTTCTGCCAATGTTTCCTCTCAGTGAAAGGTATTGCCATCAATTCAGCCATTCTATCAGAAACCTGGGAGTCAAGCTTGATACCTCTCTCTAATTCACCTATACATTGCATCTATTACCATGTCCTGTCACTTTTGTTTAATATAAATATAGATAGATGTAGATATAAATAAGTAGATATCTAAACTCTCTAGAGTTGGCAGAGATGCTTTCAGAATAGAAACTAAGCAACATTCTGGACCTAACTCTCTCAAAAACAATTGCATCAGCATACAGGATTCCGTAGAACTTAGCTTAAATGCCAGGCTACTGAATGGGCTGCTTAATACAGAAGTTCCTAACAACTCTAAAATTCTCAAATAGTTTACCAATTTTAGACCATAGCCCTTTAATTTGTAAAGAAAAATATTTTTAGAAATTCAAAAACTTTCTTTTATCAAGTCATGATTGGCTAGATTGTGGTTGTTCAAACCACGTCAGAATCTCCATGATTTGAAATGGTATGGCTTATTTTAAATCTCTGCTTTGTGTCTATCTTGGATGGCTAAGAATTCTGGTATGCATTGTTCACAACAAAGCATTGTTCATATCCTGGAGCCAAGCAGATATAGCAGCCATGACTGGGTATATTGTCAGAGACACAGATAACTCTAGATCAGTAATCAAAAGAATATTCTGTCTCAGCTGTCAAATATTATGGCTCAGAAGTCACACACATCATTCCTGTTCAGAACTCATTGGCCAGCCACATTCAGTCACATGTCTATCCCTCTCATAAGAGGGCCAGGGAGTGCCTAATAGGCAAAAAGATGAGAACATCTGATGAGCCATATTAATGACTTCCACATTACCCAAAAGAATTGTTATATTAAAACATGATTTACTAAGCAAAAGCTAAAGTGTTAAATTATTTGGATGGCTAATCCTATTGTTTCCCAAATCAGTTTTGGATTTGCAATATTGTATAAGGAAGTCAGTATTTTCCCACATTTTCAATAAAATTATTATTTTAATAATACTTCTATTTTCTTAGCTCTTCAAATAGTAAATGTTCATTGGGACACCCCATTCCTTAGTGAAACTTTATGAAAAGCAGAGATTATCCAAAAGTGACACATCTTTCTTCACTTCTGATCTTTAACTATCTCCTTTAGAACAGAGAAAGTCTTACTTCTTTGGAAATAAGGTCCGTTGAAATGTCCTTAATTCTCACCAGTCTCTGATAGCATATTCTCACTTCGTAGTGGTAGAAAGAAATGTGACAAATTTTGAAGGTCTATTGGAGCTCTCTAGTGCTAACTATGCTAACTACTTTGCTTTACATTCACTCTTGGTTGGTTGTTGTTGTTGTTGTTAATTTCAATTGCCCTTTTTAGTGAGTAGCTACAAGCAAAATAACTGTATTTCCTCAAAGAAATATGATTTTCTTAGAAATCCAACACATCTGAAAGAAGAAATGGTGCACAAAATTTCAAAAGTAGTTCTGCTGTCATGAAATTTCTCATCCCCTTCTCAGGCTAACAAGGAGCAACTAAGTCAAATATATCTTGCTTCTGGCAAAATCTTTATGTGATACTATGGATGCCGTCATCTGGAACTTGATTTCCAAACTGTCTCAGAAAAATATTTCCTTTCCATTCAACATCAAAGACCCTTCTTTCCAGCCATGGGAGTCTCCTGACAAGAAAATTTTTAATGCTGTCTTTAAATGGAACATCGAGTGACTGCAATTCTATTATTGGAGGGTAATATGCCTGATTGGCCAAGGCTACAGGAACTTTATTTAAATTCTTCAATAGGGTAAAAGAGGCACTCAGATCGCTTTTTTCACAGCTATGGCTAAGTCATATAATATGATTTGGCAAGTGTAGATGACATCCCATTAGAGTATCTCTAGGTGGCAAGTCCCGTAAGAAACTGTCATGAGCCCGTATATCAACCTGTTAAAGTGACTTACACGTTCGCATTCTTTTTAATGAAAAGAACAAATTAGAATTCAAAGTGTAAAATAATAGGTGCTCAACTTTGTGAACTCCATGATCACATTTAGCTTTATAAAAAGCACCCATCTGATTTTCAGGCCCTGCAAACTATCACTGAGGTTATCAGAAACTTTTATAAAATGAACATGGATATATTTTCTTTTTGTGTTGCATGTCCCCAAGATGTGTCATATATATAGCTCTTAAGTTTTGACTGATAACCCTAACAGAAAAGGTAAAATTTCATCCAGGGAGTATTCTAAAACACTGCATATTTTGCAGAACTAAATGGTGCCGAGGAGCAATGAATTAACAGTTGAGACATAAACATGCTGTCCATTAACAGTGATTGATCACTAACTGGTATATATGGAATATACGTATAGTATGTTTGTTTTTGCTCTCTTCTTTTGTTTCTTTTTTTTTAAATTGCAATTTAGCTGACAAAGGAATTTGGCTGAAATGTAGTAACAGCGGGCAGAGGAAAACATGAAGAAAACGTTCTCGGCTGAGTGCTGGTAACTACTAATCCATCAATTCTTTGCTATTTGCTTTTTACAGAAAATTGTAATTGTTATTTTATTTTGTAGATTACCAAAAAGATTTCATCTCTTACTCTGATAAAATGTTAAAATGTAGAGGAGGGAAAAATAATATATTTGACATCCATTATCTCTAGTTGGGTTTACAAATATTACGACTCTGTATAGACTCTGTTTACTGACTCTGATTCTGCAGCAGCCTTGTTATAATTCACTGTTATTATCTGTCTAATCAGGGGATAAAGGCAGAGTGATTTGTGCCTTTAGGCAAACTTTTCCTTAGACTCATTATTTCTGTTTTCATTTGCAGCAATTTAGTATTCTGCCCTAGTTTCTGATTTCTTAAAGAATGACAATTTCAAGCCAAAACTAATCTTTCCTGGGTGTGCATCAGTACTGTTTAAACCTATTGCACCATATAAATAGCACTCAGGAGGCTTCCATAAGAAACTCTGCTACATGGCATATTCTATCCACCTCCTTAAAACTTGATAGCTCTCACAGCTGCTGACACCACAACTAGCCATTGAATGAGCCTCTCAGGTGCTGTGTGTGGTATCAGAACAGATTATTATTGACATTGTTTTCTTATGAAAATATTACTAGTTATGTAATCTGAAAATATTTACAAAATTATATTGCAGAACTGGATATAATTTTAATAGGTCATCAAGTCTTCAGGGAGTATTGTACTATCGGGGGACCTTTTTGTGTTTCCTTGCATTTTAAAGATTCCTTAAAATCCAGCCATTAATGCTAAAGTTCTCTACAAATATATCTCTTGCATATATTAGCAGTGATGGAGATGGTAGAACTGAAAACACTGATTCAAAAAATAACTTGTAAATATTGTACAAGAAATATCCACAAGAAAACCAGAGGAAACCAAAGACCAAAATGATAAAAGAGGTGAAAAATAGATATATCTACTAGAGCAAAAATACTAAGTATTTGAGGCTTACATATTGCCTCCCTCTAAACAATTAAGTGGTGATTTCAACCATGCCCATAAAAATGTTACCTAATTGTGAACAACTGTTTTTCATTTGCACTGGAAGGGATCTTTTAGTAAAAGCAGGTTTATTACCTGAGTTATCTCAATAATTGCCTGAACACTGTAATTTGTCTGTGGAACACAAGCCAAAAGGAAGAAATAAACCTAAAGTGATTGCTAGGCATTAAGGATATCACCCTTCCTATAAACACTGAGGCTTATGGCCTGCTGCTAACAAAGGAATGTAAGGACTAACAGACTTTATTAAGAGGATCCACTCCATTCTTTAGAGATGATTAAGCATAATATTATCCAAAAACAGGAAGGTGAGCAAGAAGGGCATTGTGTTTGCTTCTGATTTCATTATTTCATTTATTCACTGAATTAATTCATGAAATGTGTTCTTCTCCTGCACTTCCTTGTTAGACAAGAAGGCCCTGATGAGACCCTAGTGAGATACAGAGAAAAGATACAGATCCTGTTTTCAAGGTGTTTCCAGGGATTTCACTGAGCTGAAATGCAAAAAGATGGAGGGATTCATTCAGAACAACTGAACATCTTGAGCAAAGGCCAAGCTGGGCACAGAATGCAACACAATCACAAAGGATTAGCACAAGAAGAGCCAGTGAGTACCAAGGATTTTTGTTGGAACTCAACTCCATACTCCAATTTCAAGTAACAGCCTAGAAATAATTTAGGAGGTGAAAGAGTGAAGAGAGTAGCTTTATGAAAAATTCCTGCTCTCAAATAGAGTATCCTTTCATAAATGAAATGATATTTGAAGCCCGGTCATTTGAAATGATTTATATTTTTTGTTGTTGTTTTTCAGAAGCCACAATCCTCATAAATTTAAAGCTACACTATTTTGTCTGTGGAGAAAGTTCTAGGAAGCTTTTATTTGCAAGTTAGTATTTTCACCATATTAGTAGAAATCAAATAAAATTTCAACACATTATTTTTATTTTTAAAAATAAATGATAAGTTCTGGTTTTCAGGATATGTTACTGATGTGGGCAGGAGAGAGAGAAAGGTAATAGCAGTCTGGCTTATTTCGGTGAAAATTTTCTACTGATATTTCATTGCCAACATTAAATTACAATACTATGATTCTTGAGTGTATATCTGAATGCCCTTTTCTACTCAACAAACATTTAGTGAGCATCTACAATGTGCCAGTATTTGTCTGGATGTTGAGGAAGGAACAAAACAGGAAAAAAATTCTGCTTTCATGAAGCTCACATTCTAAATGGGACAGGGTATATAAAATTCCAATGTGTAAGTAATGCACAATGCATACATATCTGATTTTGATTATCAGAGAGACTAAGTAACTTCTAGAGAACTGAAGCAGTTTCATGAATTCCTTAATGTGAAGCAAGAAATCTCACTGCTGAACACATCCAGCCTGTCTTAGACTTTCTTGAATTCATTATGTTTACCCAATTTGGGGGGAAATGCTATGAGCTGTTGAATACCCCCATAACTCAGATATAGCAATATCACTCAACACTTACTATGCTGGCAAGTAAAGAGAGCTTGTTGCCCCAATTTGAAAAAAAATGAAATGTTTAAAAAATTAGTGAAATGTTGAATATTGTACCAAAATAAGACAATAATAAGTTGAAAAATGAATAAAACATTTTTATACAATTGAATTTAAGAGCTGAAAGGAACCTTGGAGAAAATGTAGTCCAAACTTCCCCTTTTTTATATTAAAATTCCAATACATAAGCAAAAAAACAACAAAAATAACTAACCAAAGTCCACAAGGTTTTAAGTCAAGTGGACATTAATATAAGACTAAAAATTAGGGATCATGATTGCTATAAATTAGTGATCCTCATAGTGTGATTGAGGATCCCATGGGATTCTGAGATCTATTCATGGAACCCACAAAGTCAAATCTATTCTCTTAATAGTAATGGAACTTACTATCTTTTTTACTTTATACTCTCATGGTGAACCATCAAGTTCTCCAAAGGCTATGTGATATATGATACTACACAGATGGAGTACAGACGCCGATATGAGTACTGGCTGTCTTCTAGTAAACAGGTGATATTTGCAAAGGTGTAACAGGTAATGAATTTATTATTATTTTAATAAATGCATAAATATATATGTTGACAATTTATTTGCCTTAACTTCTACTTTTAATAGATATAACCCATATAAAAATAGCTCTTTGAGTCACTCATAACTTTTAGGGATACAAAGAAAATCTGAGACCTGAATCTAAGTAGCAATTAACTCATCTTGTTAACATCTCAATGCTGAATTTGTATAGTGTATAGATTTTAACAGTTATTAAAAATCAAAAACAGTAGTGTTTACAATTTATTGGGTGGCCAATATATGCCAGTATACATATAGAATTTAGCAACAATTGTACAAGCCAAGTATTTTTTCTCCATTTGATAGAGGAGAAAGCTGAGAATAAGCAAGTTTACATTGTCAGTGGTCAAACACCTAGTGAGTGATGCAGCCCATTTTCGGACCTACTTCTCTGAAACTACCACTTGTCTTCTCAATAGTTCCAGGCTAGTTAGAACTCAGTTAAGCAGAGTCTAAGCCCCCCTATTCCCCTATCATCATTCTTCTCTGCCTCAGATTCATAAATTACACACACACACACACACACACACACAAAACAAACAAAACCAACAACAACAACAAAACAATAAAAGAGGCTGGGAACGGTGGCTCATGCCTGTAGTCCCAGCACTTTGGGAGGCTGAGGCCAGCAGATTAGGAGGCCACGAGTTTGAGACCAGTGTGGCCAACATGGTGAAAACCTGTCTCTACTAAAAATACAAAAATTAGCCAGGCGTGGTGGGCAGGTACCTGTAATCCCAGCTACTCAGAAGGCTGAGGCAAGAGAATTGCTTGAACTCAGGAGGCAGAGGTTGGAGTGAGCCGAGATCACGCCACTGCACTCCAGGCTGGGTGACAGAGCAAGGATCTATCTCAGAAAAAAAAAAGAAAGAAAAAAAAAAAAAAGCAAATCTGTAGAGATATATAAAGTCGTGGAATTCAAATTAGGAAGTTATAAGCCAAATATATATATATGTATATATGTATATATACATATGTATATATATGTAGAGAGAGTACATAGAAGACTGCATGAGAATAAAATATGTAAGCGGATAAGCACAATGTGATCAAGCAGAAATGAAGACAGAAAAAATATGATGGACTCAAAAGGGAAATAAACTCTTAAACAACCTCATATAAAGTGAGCAAAGGACATGAACAGATACTTCTTAAAAGAAAACATGCATATGGCCAACAAGCATATGAGAAAAAGCTCAAAATCACTTATCATTAGAGAATGAAAATCCAAATCAAAAGCAGATACTATTTCTCACCAGTCAGAATGGCTATTATTAAAAAGTCAGAAAACAACAGATGCTGGCAAGGTTGCTGAAAAAAAGGAATGCTTATACACTCTTGGTGGGGGTGTAAATTAGTTCAAGAATTGTGGAAGACAATGCGGCAATTCCTTAAAGACCTAAAGAAAGAAATACAATATGATCTATAATATTGTTGACCCAACAATCCCATTACTGGGTATATATCCAAAGGAATATAAATCGTTCTCTTATAAAGACACATGCATGTGTGTGCTCATTGCAGCACTATTCAGAAAGCTAAGACATGGAATCAACCTAAATGTCCATCAGTGGTAGCCTGAATAAAGGAAATGTAGTACATAAACACCATGGAATACTATGCAGAAAAAAAAAAAAGAATGTGATCATGTCCTACCCAGGAACATGGATGGAGGTGGAGGCCATCATCCACAGCAAACTAAGACAGCAACGAAAAAACGAATACCACATGTAAATCTCACTTACAAGTGGGAGTTAAATGATGAGAACACATGGACACATAGAAGGGAACAACACACACTGGGACCTATCAGGGTGGAGAGTGGAAGGAGGGAGAGCATCAGGAATAATAACTAGTGGGTACTAAGCTTAGTACCTGGGTGATGAAATAATCTGTACAACAAATTCCCATAACACAATTTTACCTATATAACAAACCTGCACATTTCTCCTGAACTTAAAATAAAAGTTGGCTGGGTTCAGTGGCTCACGCCTGTAATCCCAGCACTTTGGGAGGCCAAGGCTGGTGGATCACTTGAGGTCAGGAGTTTGAGAACAGCTTGGCCAACATGGCGAAACCCCATCTCTACTAAAAATACAAAAATTAGCCGGATGTGATGGCGCATGCCTGCATGCCTGTGTGTACTTGGAAGGCTGAGGCAGGAAAATCACCTGAACCAGGAGGTGGAGGTTGCAGTGAGCAAAGATTGTGCCACTACACTCCAGCCTGGATGACTGAGGGAGACTCCATCTCAAAAAAATAAAATAATTAAATAATTAAATTAAATTGAAGTTAAGCAAAAACAAAAACTCTCAAAAATGTGTCTCTTGAAAGCAAAGAAAGCAGAATAAAAGCTCAAGTTTGTTTAAATGAAAAAGGTAGTATGTTAAAGGTGGAGGGGGGAATAGAATGGCAAGCCAAAAAATGTTATGTTCCAAGATATATGTAAAATTTAAAAAGAAGTGAGAGATGAAGCTGGCTGGACTTCTGGGTCTGGTGGGGACTTGGAGAACTTTTCTGTCTAGCTAAAGGATTGTAAATGCACCAATCAGCACTCTGTAAAAACACACCAATCAGTGCTCTGTGTCTACCTAAAGGTTTGTAAACACACCAATCAGCACTCTGTAAAATGGACCAATCAGTATTCTGTTTAATGGACCAATCAGCAGGATGTGGGCAGGGCCAAATAAGGGACTAAAAGCTGGCCACCCCAGCCAGCAGCAGCAACCCACTTGGGTCCCTTTCCACGCTGTGGAATTTTTGTTCTTTAGCTCTTCACAATAAATCTTGCACTACTCACTCTTTGGGTCCACGGACTACCTTTATGAGCTGTAACACTCACTGCAAAGGTCTGTGGCTTCACTCCTGAGGTCAGCAAGACCACGAACCCACTGGGAGGAACGAACAACTCCAGACGCACCACGTTTAAGAGCTGTAACACTCACTGCGATGGTCTGTGGCTTCACTCCTGAAGTCAGCAAAACCACGAACCCACTAGAAGGAAGAAACTCCGGACACATCTGAACATCTGAAGGAAAAAACTCCGGACACACCATCTTTAAGAACTGTAACACTCACTGCAAGGGTCCATGGCTTCATTCTTGAAGTCAGCGAGAACAAGAACCTACCAGAAGGAATAAATTCCGGACACAGAAGAAAGAGGAGAAAGGCAATAGAAACATTTGTAAGTGGATGTTAGAAAGATTCATAATGAATAAGAAATGAAATGAAATGAGTATAGTTGGCATTATCTTAGACATAATTAATAAAAGAAAAATATAGAACATGTTGTATAGAATGTTTTAAATAAAGTAAGGTAAATATTAGAACTGGACCAGAAACTAGGCAAAAAGTATGAAATAAGGGTTTTATTTATGTGTATGAGGTTAGGATGATTTTGGTGAGCAACACATCTGCTGAAGGAATTACTTTCTGGCAATACTAAATTGTTAATACAGTTAAAAAGATGTATTTGATGGAATATTTTTCTCAAATTGGCTTATAATGAATTATTCAAATTTGCTTTCTCTACACATTTTAAAAATGATAGAAATTTTGAAATCTGTCTTTGTTTTATATCCCTTTATATCCTCTAAAATAGATTTTTCCTCTTTTGCTGACGTAATTGATTAGGGAGTAGATAAAAAAAAAAATGGTTTAAACACCAAATATATACTTTCCCAGTGAGAATAGTTAACAAAGACATGTGGATGATAACTGTGAAGTCCATGAACTCCAGAAAGCTGCATAGATGAACTATAAGCATTTCTACCCTAAAAGTAGGGTGCCCAGGAGGCCACTCTCTTCCAGCTGAGCATCAGCCGTTACTGTGAGAGCCAAAGTGCAGGGACAGCGACCCAGTCGCAGCAAGTACTGGTAGCATTTCCTCTCTGGAGAATGTGCTAGGATCAGTTTCAGATCTGTGATTTTTCTTTCTTTCTTTGATCTACTATTGAATAGTTATGGAGGGATAAAGATGGAAAACTATCTTCAAATGCCACTGAGTACAGTCAATTATTTTTGTGTCTCAGATAAATTTAGGAAATGAAACAAACGAGCTGGAGCAGAAAAGGTACTTATTCTAAAGTTGACTTTGAATTTCTGCATCTCATAAATCAACACCTTTGCTCAGTCAACTTCCACAATTTGAATGTATTTTTAGGAATATTAATATTTGCTATTAAAACATGCTCTCTCCAAGTACCATGATAAGTGGCTTTCTAAAACTGTTACAGATATTTTATTACCATCATTTCATTTTAAAAATCAAATAATTCTCATGGAAATTGAGTAACTTGTCCAAGCCTATTCAACTAGTACATTTCATAGCGAATAATAAATCTGGATATTAATGACTATGCCTTTGTTTTTTAACCTCCCGAATAAAACTGACTTGGGAGTGGGGCTCATATTTCTCAAAATATCCTGGTACACAATCAGGACAAGTAATCATTACCTTATACCCACAATGTGTGGAAACAGATCTGCAACAGCCTTGGATATATGAATCATCATCTAAATGAATATGTTTAAAAAACAAAACTGAAATGAAACAAAAATCCACCGCATTATCTGCACCCGGAACTCAAATCAACCTGTCTCAAAACACTGTAAATGAACCTGGTTACATAGTTCAGTTGGTTCATACACAGTCTGCAAGTGTGAATGTAGACAGGACTATAGGGAACAGTTAGATAATAGTCCCTTCTCTCCCCTTCCACCCATTTGTTTAAATGCCTTGTGTCTCCAACTTAGGGCCAATAAAACAATAAAAGAGAAAAAATGTGTTTGAAATCAGAACATGCTATAAAATAAAAAGTAAATAAAAGCAAGGAGGAAATACAAGTTATGAGTGGAGAAAAGAATCATGGTAGGTGCAGAGTTATCATACAGGGATTTCAGCCTTCACCCACAGCCTCCTTCTCTTCATTTTGTCCACATATATGGCATAGGTGTTATCTGCAAGTGTTGTAAAGCATATCTTCAATTTTTGGCAGTAATTCAGAACTGAGCAACTTCATGGCACGTGAGGAATTTTGTCTCATTGGAAAAAAAGTCAGAATAATGATACAATTAAAATTAAAGTAACCAGTAAGATAGGGAAAATAAGGTTGGGCTAGAAAAGCCCAACTTTCATATTCATGAAAGTATATCATGAATAAGAATTTAAATTATCAATGAAAAATATGGTATTACTGAGCTAGAAGAAAATGTCATTTTCACATTACTGAAAAGAGATGATTGAGCACTTTTACTGAGCAGATTTAATAATTTATACCAAGATTAATCAAGTAATAACAAAAGTAACAACCATTCATAGAGTGAGGCACTGTGTTAAGCATTTACATTTATTTAATTTCTATAATTTTATAAATAGACATTAACCATATTTTATTGAGGAAGATTGAGATTCAGAAAAATTAAGTCATTTGTTTGAAATTACCTATTAAAAGTAGCAGCAGAGCCAAGATTGGAACAAAGTTCTCTCGAATCTTATAAAGTGAATGAAGACCTTATAAATAAAACCCATAGCGTTATTAGAAGGAAGGGTCCGGGTGGGGTGGCTCACACCTGTAATCCCAGCACTTTGGGAGGCCAAGGCGGGCAGATCATGAGGTCAGGAGACGGAGACCACGGTGAAACCCCATCTCTACTAAAAATACAAAAAATTAGCCGGGCGCGATGGCGGGCGCCTGTAGTCCCAGCTACTCGGGAGGCTGACGCAGGAGAATGGCGTGAACCCGGGAGGCGGAGCTTGCAGTGAGCCTAGATTGCGCCACTGCACTCCAGCCTAGGTGACAGAGCGAGACTCCGTCTCAAAAAAAACTAAAAAAAAAAAGAAGGAAGGGAGTGTGTGGACTAAAGTAGATAGGAATGTTCCATTCAACATTTAATGATATATGCCGAGTAACTGCTTTATCACAGTCTCTCAGTAAACATGATCCATTTTAGGTCATTATGATTGATGTAGAATAGGCTGATAGACACATGGATAAATCAGAAAGCACTGTAATCTAATCTTTCAAAATGAACTGAAATAATTTTTTTTAAATTATTTGAGTGACAACATAAGGCAGAGTGGAAAAAATTTAGAACTGAGATTATAGAACTGGGAAAGATTTAGAAAAGTTATTTAGAACTGAAGACTAAACTAGGAAAAACACAAGAACATGTAAGCATAACAGATTATGACTGAGAAGGACAAAGGTAAAGAGAAGGAAATATTTTGAAATAAACAAAAAATAAAAAAATGCTATATAAAAATATGAGAAATGGTAACAGATGTAGGAGACAGATAAAAATGATTCAAGATACATGTTATGATTCCCTGAAATAAAAAGGTAAATCAGAGAACAAAAAATAATAAAAGTTATAATGCAAGAACATTCCTAAAATTAAAAAAAAATAAAAAGACTTAAAAGTACAAATAAAAGAGTACAACACAAATATAGACAAATAGACCCAGAATAACCAATAATGACGATGTCTAATAAAATTACTAAAATTAAAACAAAAAATTCATCTTACATCTAAGCAAAAACATGAAAATTCTCACTAGAGAAAGAAAATTAGATTATCATGAGACTTTTCAATAACAGTATGTTATAGCAGAAGGTGAGGGATACCTAAGGGAAGATAAGGGATAACAGAATACCTAAGAAAATGAACTATGAACCTAGGATTTGATCCAAGCAAACTGAATTTCAACTATAAAGTGTTTAGATAAACTTTATGACAATCAAATACTTGGAAAATTATGTTTCTGTTAGCATTTTATAAAGCATTTACTAGAGAATGGACTTTAGACAACCAAAATGAAAGGAGAAACCACAAGAGGATTGGTGATGAGCGTTTAATATATAGGATTAGTAATAAACATTGTTATAAGGCATGGATTATAGCATGAAGCAGCTGTATGTTTTGACAATGTAGATATGGTAACCTATCAGAAATAGGAAAGAATGAAAATATATAATTGTATAATTACAAAGTTTAGTATGATTGTGAAACAACATTAAGGAAAGAGAAATCCCTAAAAATTAAAAATAAAATGACTCAAATCAAATGTGTATCCTATTGGCAGCATATTCATTTCAAGAGGAATTATTTCAAATGACTGTAAAAAACAGTAATTGGAGTATACTTCCCTAATGTGGTATGACTTAAGAGCACAAAGAACTTAAGAAAAAAAAAACACCACTCTTGTAAACCGTTTTCAGTAATTATATCATTGTTCTTGTGTCAGCATTGTGATTTAGAGACAATTAATGTGTATAATGTGGGATAAAACAAATGAAGAATCAAGTAATATTCCAACTCTATCATTGCTGAGATTCTCAATGTGGAAAAAAATGTGGAGAGATGTAAGATTGAAGAAATTAAATAAATTCACTCATTTATTTTAATTTATTGGATAAGTAGAAAGTAATTCATAAAGTATTCTATCCTCAAATAATAAAAGCAAAGCAAAAATGTAAGCAAACAACTATATACATACATACACATACATACTGTATGTATTATACATATGACTCTGTATGTATATGTGTGTACGTATATGTATGCACACATACACATGTATGTACATATATACACATATAACAGAAAGTCTCCAGCTTACAATGGTTCCACATAACAAATTTTCAAACTTTCTGATGATGTGGAAGCAGTATGCATTCAGTAGAAATCATACTTTCAGTACCCATACAACTACTTATTTTTCACTTTTAATATAGTATTCGATAAATTACATGAGATATTGAACACTTTACTGTAACATATGCTTTGTCTTAGATGATTTTGCTCAACCATAGGCTAATATAGGTATTGCGAACACATTTAAAGTAGGCTAGGCAAAGCTATGATGTTTGGTTGATTGGCTGCATTAAATGCATTTCTGACTTACGATATTTTCAACTTATGATGGGTTTATTAGGATGTAACCCCATCGTGAGTTGAGGAGCATCTGTACTGCTATTGTTTGCTTGATTTTATCTTTATTCTGTTTTGTTTTGTTTTGTTTTGTTTTTGTAACTTTTTAGTTCCATCTGCTGAAAAGTCTAGAAGCAATCACCAGCTCAGAAGCAATGGGCACTGCAAGTGCCCAGATGGCAGTTTTGGAATACCAGTTTCCACTAAAAAAAAAAAAAAAAAAAAAGGGACAGTTCAGTGAAATGATTTATTTTAGATCTGGAGCAGGAAATGTACAACACGAGACTACAACATAGCCATGAAGCTCACAAGAAGAGGTATGTGAGTAAGCCTAAGTATTAGGTTTCCATACTTAGGTTTGCATCTAAAGATGAAACAATACTTGAATATTAATGAGGTTAAACCTGTCAGGGATGGAACTCCATCAAATATGTTCAAATGTATACAGTCATATATATCCATTTGAGAGGATTCTAGAAAACTAAATTTTTATTTTGAAAACTGACATGTCAAAGAAAAGAATCTGGCATGTATCCAGTCTTTCCTTTAAAGGCTGTACAACTAGGTAACCAAATGATAAATGAGGAATGCTTCTCTTTCAGAAATATTGCAGCCAATAAATCAAAAAGTTATAATGAAAGAAGATAATCACCACTTTGCAACCCATAATTAATTAATGGATTAGGTATAAATCATCGATGGCTGTTAACTTCACAAATTAGATATGATGGGCTTCCTGAACAGCACAACTTCACCTCTGAAATAATCTCACCAAAATATTCTAGATCCACCTAACAATTCACAGACAAAAATAGAGGACAGAAGATCATGCTAAATGGTAACACAGGGATGTAATCGGCAAAATCCACAGTGTGGAAAATTCAACAGGAAAAAATGTGTGAGTTTCTTCAACACATAAATATCAAAGATAAAAAAAAAGACAAAGAAAAAAGACAGTGGAACCTATAGAATAGAAGCTAATTAAGAGAAGACTTCTGATTTCCATCTGAGAAGAGTTTTGAAGTCATCACTCACATTCTTGCAATAAGAAAAAGCTGAAAATAATAAAAATCAATGACTTTTTGTGAAACTATCAGAGAAACAACATGGTACAACAAACTACCTCTCTAAAATTTGAAGACAGAGGTATCCCAAGGAACACAGCCCAATCTGCTTACCTGAAATGAAAGAAGCCTCTGAAACTCTAGTTGAATTGTAACTTTAATGAATTGCTGGGGGCTGAGTGTGGACTAGTACCAGTGAGAAACTCTGGGAGGTTGTGGTCTTAGGGGAGCCCAACATTTTCTTAGGGTTTGTCTCCAGGTTCTCACAGTGAAGATCTGACAAAGATTCCATCATGAGTTTTACAGTGGAAAAAAGCTAATCCTTTGAAATATAACCAAAGCCTTCTCCATATTTGGCTTTACCCTCCGGGGGAAAAACTTTGCCAGAGCCTTCTACCTTGGGGAAGAGCATCTCTCTGAACCGTCTATCCTTCATCTCCTGTGTAAGGAAGAAAAAACAACATAGTCAACAGGGGTCAGGCATTCAAGGAAGTAGACTGGCAATGCTTCAGCAGGGAAGGAAGTAAAAGGTAGAGTTAAAAAAAATTAATAAAAAAAAGCTATATCATTGAAGAAGCACTCTTGAAAGCCACTAAGACAAGTCTGCTAAAAGACAGGTTTAATAGAATGCAAATCATAGAAGACTCCCCTACCCCAAACCTTACCTCAAGCCAATAGTCTCCAATATAAGAGTGCATTGCAACAGAAGGAGTTGCAAAACACAGACTGTCTCTGAGAAGGAATACAGGAAGAACAAAGTCAGGAGAGAGAAAAGCAAGGACTCTAAAGGAACTTGAAGCTCTGCCCTCTGTAGCTATAGAAACTCCCAGCTAGATTAATATAAATTCTCACAATAACATTCTATATAACATCCCTGTTACCCAACACAACAAAAAATTATAAAACATGACAAAGGCAAAAAATAATACAATCTAGAGACAAACATGAAAACCAAACTTAGACATGACATAGATATAGAAAATATCAGGCAAGAAATTTGAAATAACTTTGGTTAATATGCTAAGCACTTTAATGAAAAAAGAAGGCAACACAGAAAAATCAGTGGACAGGGACCGGGTACAGTGGCTCAAACCTGTAATCCCAGCAATTTAGGAGACCAAGGCAGGTGGATCACTTTAGGTTAGGAGTTCAAGACCAGCCTGGCCAACATAGTGAAACCCCACCTCTACTAAAAATACAAAAATTAGCTGGGCATGGTGGCACATGCCTGTAATCCCAGCTACTCCGGAGGCTGAGGCATGAGAATTACTTGAACCTGGGAGGCAGAGTTTTCAGTGAGTTGAGATCATGCCGCTGGACTCCAGCCTGGGTGGCAGAGTGAGACTCTGACTCAAAAAAAAAAAAAAAATCGTTAGGGGGGAAAAAAACACAAATAATACCTTCAATGGGCTTATCAGTAGACTAAACATGGCTGTAAAAAAATCATCAATGAGCTTTAAAACAGATGATTGACAGGAATTTCACAAACTGAAATGCAAACAAAAGGAAAAAAACAAACAAACAAGGAGAACAGAATATCCAGGAACTATGGAACAATTTTAATAGGTGTAACATACATATAATTGTAATCTCAGAAGAAGAAGAAAGAAAGAATAGAGTAGAAAAAATATTTGAAGTAATAATAGCAATGTTGATTCTGGATAGGAGCCTAGAACAGAAAAAAAATTACAAAAATCTGAATAAAGTGTAGTCTTTAGCTAATAATATTAATATCGTATTTATATGGGGCTCATTTATTGTGACAAATGTACCATATGAACATAAGATGTTAATCATTGAGGAAACTGGGTCCGGGAAATATGGGAACGGTCAGTATTATTATTACAGTTTTTCTATCAATCTAAAACTATTCTAAAATTAAAGTATTTTTAAGAAAAGAATTAAGAAACATATCAATCAATATACCAGGAGTTTAATTTAGTTGATATTATATTTTTAAACAAAGGACATTTATAAGTTAATTGAGAATTTGAACGGATTGGCTATTTGATGTTAAATTCTTCTTGTTAATTTTTTGAAAAAGATAATATTTTGTTTTATTTTAAAGAGAATACTTTTATCATAGAAATGCAAACTGAGTAGTTATTGGTGAAATAGTTTAATGTTAGAGACTTGCTGCAGATTAAGAGTGGAGGAGGAGAAGTGTCTAAAGGCATGGATGAAGCAGGGTTGGCAGGAGTTGACGGTTACAGGCACTTGGCAATGCGTGCACAAGGCTCATGATACTGTTCTGTCTACTTTGTATACAATTGACGTTTACTAAATAGACATATTTAAAAAGTCTCACAAGAAAACATGTATAACTTCTTACTGTCGTTTTGAGGGATTAAGAACAAACAAAAGACGGATAGACTAAACTTTTCTAAGTTAATAAAGAGCAATTTGGCAAAAACTCTTCAAATTTTTACAAACATGGATTTTTTGGAATATAATTATTGCATTATCTTTAGGGGAAAAAAAAGCCATTTTATTATCAAGGGCCTGGATTGCTGATCTTGTCACCATGCCTTACATTCCTATGTGCTTAAGGCACAGATGCTGCAATAAAGAATAGCAATGTAATATATACAGATAAAAAGAAGATGGCCTGAGCTAATACCAAATTAAACTAATACATGACAAGCAGCAGCCAGATGCATATGTCAGAATGCCAAGTGAGAGACATGGAGGGGCTGCATCTGGACTGAGGCCAATCATGAAATGTTAAGCACAGAATTTTCTGCCTTTTCAAAAGCATTGTAAATAATTACTAAGAGGAATGCTTTTTAGGGAATAAGAATTATAAGTATAGGTAAGATCAAAGCGTAAATGGGTGCTAAAAATAAATCCCATTTTCCCCCCTAACCAGTAAAGTCACTCTTTCAGGAGATACTATACTTATTAAGCTATTTGTGAAACTAGGATGAATATACCACACACATATACTTAGACAAATACATGCAAGTTATTTTACACTAAAAATTGAAAAGACGATGACATACCAAATGTGCACATCAAGCTTAGACATAAATGAAAATTTGGAGGAAAATAGAGCCTCCATGAAACAATAAAGAAGGCTCTCAGGTATAACTGAAGCTTAAGCTGTATAATAAAAAGGGGTTTAAAACTATTCTGGCTTTAGGCTTTTTACACTTCATTAATATCTACCACTTGAAGTCACTTCAAATTAGGCATCCCAGCAGTTAAGTTCACATTTTCCTTGCTTCAAGGAAAGAATAAAAATGTAAGACCAAAAAAAAAAAAAGATTAAAATGCCGCATTTCCATCAGTGCTGAAGTATGGAAACATAGGGTAAGATGAGAGAAACTTAAGGAAATATAGAAAAATATTAAATTGAAACTCTGTGGCTCTACAAATGTCATCTCACTTCTATATTTTTCAGCTTTGTGGAGATTAGTAATGGTTAAAGTTGTGTAAAATTGTAAACTGTATTGAACAACGGGGACAAGCTTCTGTGTGCTGGTGACATGGACTCCGGAGAGACAGAGTCACTAGCTGACTCAGAGTTAAAGTTTTGGAAAGGAGGCATTTTAATGATGAAGGGGAAATGGACATTTCTTACAATGATTTATTCTACAGAGACATTTGGGAGGAAAGTTTTTAATTTAAAATCATATGTCACATATGTTATATTTTGTTCTGCATCAAAGTATATCCACACAGATTTCTATGCTATGTGCTATTATTTATGAGTATGAAAGAATTGAAACTCAAGTTCTGATAACCAAAATTGTTTTTAGTGTCAGTTTTTTGCCTTAAAAATAATGTATAAATATGTGGCCCAAAATACAGCAATGGGCAGAGGTTGATTTGAGCTGTGGAGGTTAAGGGAATAGAGAAATAATATGAAACATCTGGGATACAATCACAAAAATTATTGTGATGTAAATCATGCAGATGTAGATTATCAGAAAGACACAGGGAAGTCTATTGTGAATGCCCGAAAGATAAAGAGAATATGGAGAAAAGGGCTGAAATTATTGCTTTAATGTTGATTTTGTTGCCAAGAGTTTCAATTATTACACAAATAAAATGCAATAGATGTAATGAATTTAGTAATTGCTAAATTTTTTAGTACATTGCCTCAAGTTATCTTACTGAAGATTTAATTCAAATTGGCTTGAAAATGAATAGCATCACGTCATAGAAACTGTAAGCGTGGCTGAGAGAAGATAAACTAAGAATGCTGATCAAATCAAGGTAAATGGAGTGACTAAAACTGTTAGAGATGCAAAAATCAAAATGTGGCTTATTTTTCCTTGTAAATGTATTATCTTCTTACTGTATGATATTCACTGGAGAGATATTTCCTACTTCCTTTAATAAGAAGGACTTGGAAAAGGAGGTAATACGCACACTAGCTATAAGTAGATCCAGTGGCAATCTCCTTCTGTTGTGGCTGATAATGAAGTTCAAAAAAAAAGTAAGCAAACAGCATATGCATCTGCAGACAAGAGTGGAAAAGAAAACTCATCTTCAAAACAGCATGTAGATTTTATCAGGATAAATATTGATCCTCATGTGAGATGTGCCAAGAAAAATTAGGAGTGGAATTGACAGATGCTGTCCTCTGGGCATATGCAGGAAAATCAAATGTATTTCTCAATTCAAAAATAGCTGCATGCAAGTGTATTTGAATTGGCTTAGGAAGTTAAAAATCATGGCCGCACTAGGATTTAAATGCAAGGAGAAGTCTGTTAATATTGAATGCACAGAGGAAAGAAGAAATTTATCATGGAGGAGGGGGGAACGACTGACATCGGTGCAGTTGATTGGGAAGCCTTTCCTGATTGAAGTAGCGTTGTGTCGCATGAACATTCATGTTGTATAGCTCTAAACCCTTTTCCCTTCTTGTAACCAAGCCGCGTACAGAAAGGAAAGGCTTATTTTTTTTTCAAGGCAGGCTGCTGGGAGGGTATTAAAAAGAATATTGCAAAGGAGCTGAATAAGAAATAAATTCCTGATGACAATTTGGGAATGCTTAGCAGACATATAAGGCCCTTTCTCTAATAAGGGCAAAAAAGAAATTATGGTCCACAGTTAAACCTCCCTAAAAAGGGCGTTTGACACCTCTTTATATATCTTTCCAATACTATAAAAGTAAATGAGAGAATACAAAAGGCTCTGCATATAGTAACTCTCACTCTGTTAGGTCATCAATAATAATTTCTTAATCTAACTCCTATTTTTTCCGTCTGGCTTTAAGATAGAGATCATAAACTGTCAACTCATGGATGAGTCTGTCTATCAAAACTCCCTCCAAAATTAAAACGTAAATAAATTTGATGTTACTATTTTAAAAATAGGAGAGAAATGTCAGTTTCTGAATTTTCCTTAGAAGTAAAAAGTATGAACTATCTTAGGGCTAAATCAGCTGGAGCTGAGTTATCACAGCCAGCTTTAGATAAAGCCACCCTTTCTATTTCCCAATATTTCCAATCTGGGGTGTTTTTTTCTCTTTCTCTTTCACTACCTGACCTTATAGGTACTTGACATCTTGAGTAATACAAAACCATGCCTGTAATATTGTATTACATTTTGTAGGCAGAAAATAACTTTTTGTCAACATTTGATAGGTAATCCTTTTTAAAAGTTTAGGTTGCATGAAAAGGAGCAATTAGGTAAAATAAGCATTGAGTTTTCTATATCTAAGGCCAATATGCTGCTGGCTGAAGACATTATTGGAATGCATTTACCGGAGCTGGAGGCTTAGTACCTAGGCAAAATGATGTAGGTTCCATGGTCTTTCCAAAACTTAAAAAGAAGAAAACACCTCATTTAACCAATCAAAAAACAGAATGTTTATACTCTTCTCAAGGTAAGGATGGACATAAACTTCCCTTGTAACACCTGCTGCTTAATTACTCTGGCCAAATTCCTGGTAATTTTTTCTTTGCTTGTTAAATGTAGTGTTCTTTAAATTTTAAAATAATGAAGCAACCAATAGTTGTCTAGGGTTAAGATTTTGACAAGAGGGAAAACATGTGTGGAAGACTAAAAAGCCAATCTGTGTAAAAGGGACAACAGCCTGGAAAGTAAAGCAAGACTCTGAGGATCCATTTAGCAGTGAACATTCCCCAGTTTCTGCTCTGTGATGCAGCTGAGCCCTGTACTACATAGGCAATTAAAATTATAAATGGTCCACCCAGCTATGTCTCCTTCTGAGAACTACATCATGCCCTGCTGCCATGCATGGCAAACCCTATTCCATTCATTCCAATTTTCACCGTAACTGAGGAGCAGACCCAGAAAAAGAGAGGCCACTGGGTTTCCGCTCCAACCTGCTGGCATTCTGAATCGCTTGCCCAAAGTTCTGAGGTCATTCAAGAGAATTCAGCCATAAAACAAATCATTCACTGCGGTTGCCTAAGGGCAATAAAAACTTCACTGCCTTGACTCTAGAAGCACTCTGGGCAGTTTTCCACATGGCAGGGGTAATAGGGCAGGTGTGAAAAATCACGACCTAAACTCCACCTGGGAGCTCTGGCCAAGGTTTGCCATCAAGTGCCTCTGGCACCCTTGGCACCCTCATCGCCACTGGCCCAAATGTCCCAATTAGGCACTAACAAAGAGTAAGCCAAGCAAATGCATCAGAAAGACAGATCCCCTGGGAAAAAGGTAAATTCAAATTGATGCAAGCCCTGGAGCCCCTGAAGTTAAGTGCTCCTGTACCCCCACAGCAAGGATTCTTGGGGAAAATTAGGTCTTGTTGAGTACGTATAAGGACTCCCAAAGTTATCAGGGCATCATGTTATTCCAAAACTCCAGGAGATTGTTGTCTTTCTATGTCACAGCACTAGGTATCACTGAGAGGTAGTAGAGGGAGCCGAGGTAGTTAGAAGGTGGAGACAGTAAAATCTAAAATCATGCAATATGCAAGCATTTCATACCTCTCCTCATTCAGAAGAAAGCACAAAACACAAAAACTGGGAAAGTACTGCAGTAATTGTAAGCTAGTGCAATTTGGTGTATTTGTTATATTGTTAATTTTCTTGTTAGAATGTCATTATTTTACTTTATTCTTACTTTTATTAGCACAACACGATTTCACATCTCAGGGCAAATACTGTTGTTTATCAGCCATAAAAGGAAATATTTTGACATAATATAAACCATAGCTGCAAGGTAAAATACTCACATTTTCCTTTACCCATAGATCTTTCAGCAATTATTCAATTATCTGATGCAGATTTAAAACATTATGGACTATGCCGTGTACTTAAAGGATGAAGAAAAGGAAATATTAGGAAAATCCAAGAGATTTTTTACAGCAAAACCAACTTTAGTCAAACTTTCCCTTAGATGCTATACTGTTTGGTTCATGTTTTTATTACTTGGAATTTCTACAATTAATTTGGTCATTAGTTAATATTTATAGAGTACTGTAAAATTTCCTCACGTTTTTTACAACAACTGCTTAGTTTTCTTTACAACGTTCCCGAAAGGTGCAAGCAGTAAAATTTCCTGCCAGGAATAAAACAGGAAATTCTTAAGTGCCATGAGAGAGGATACTCTTATAAAGCGTTTTTAGGTGCTGAATAGAGTAAGTCAGTCAGGTGCTTATCCATTTTACAGACTTAATTTGGAGTAAATTCTGCCAACATTTATTTGAACTCAGCTGTGACAAAAATTTTCCATGGTTTCATTATGATTCAGGATAACAAATCCTGACAAAGAACTAGAGTTTAATATTAAGGGTCTTGAAATCGAGTCTAGAGTTGAAAGGATGTAGTGATGTCAGCAATTTCAGAATAGCTCGGAAAGGCAGGCCATCTCAGACAGATGGGGAATGAGTTAAGGTTGTCTAAATATTCCCTTTCTTCAAGCTTTTCCAGTTTAATATCTTTGGGTACAGAAATATAATTTTTCTTTATATAAAATCCACCTGGCTTCAGAATGAACCCATTTCCTCTGATTCAGCCCTCAGTAGAAATGAAGAAATTTGGTTACAAACTGTTTATAAATTTGAAGAACAATAATGCCACATGTTTTATGACTACTTGCTTTTCCCACAGAAGAGCTTTTTTCTTAGGCCACATGCCCTCAATTGAGCATTTTGCTTTCTGCTTCCAGACTTGACTGGGACTGATTAGAATAATTCCTATTTATCATGCCACACCAGAGATAGTTCTTAAAGGGAAGAATGATAGTGATAGATAGAGGCCAATATTGAACTCAGTAAAAGTCACAATGGCACGAGTACAATGCAGTTGATTTGAGCAAATATTAAATGAGTGTCTACTATGTGCTTAAGACTGTGCAGTGGATTATTCATGGAAAAATAAAAATGATTCCTATACACAAGAAGATTAAAATATATTATGGAGATAAGAAATGCATTTTAAGCAATCAATACAAGAGAAGTATAAACTGTGCAGTGTAGACAGAATTAAGAGACAAGTCAATTTGATGTAAGAAATATTCTAATAGAAGAAATCTCACCTAAACTGAAACTTGAAGGAGTCCACCCAAGAAAAGAAGAAAAGCATACTATCAATAAAAGAAGCAGTAACTTAAAAATCTAAGAAATTAGGGCCGGGAGTGGCAGCTCACGCCTGTAATCCCAGCACTTTGGGAGGCTGAGGCACGCAGATCATGAGGTCAAGAGATTGAGATCACCCTGGCCAACATGGTGAAATCCCGTCTCTACTAAAAATACAAAAAAATAGCTGGGTGTGGTGTCACGCGCCTGTACTCCCAGCTACTCGAGAGGTCGAGGCAGGAGAATTGCTTGAACCCAGGAGGGGGAGGTTGCAGTGAGCTGAGATGGTGCCATTGCACTCCAGCCTGGGCAACCGAGCAAGACTCTGTCTAAAAAAAGAAAGAAAAAAAAAATCTAAATAATTAGAGTGGCCTATTCTTAAGTTAGTAATGGAAAATATCTACTGTAACAGGTATTCATACTGGTAAGCAACTAAATTGAAGTTGACTAAGTTAGGGAAAATTTTCCTTCTGTTTTGTATAAAAGATGTAATTGTCCATGTGTGAACTTTATTCTGGCTTAGAGATGAATTTAAAAAGATAAGAAAATAAGCAGTGGTGTGGAGTGCAAGATCAGTAATCTAGTGTTAATAAAGACACAAATATAATCTCTCAGAACAGAGGATGAGAGGAAGGAGGTGATTTAATGAAAGAATATTTTAAGATAGAGTAAAATCAAATTAAAGTCCATTAAAGATAAATCTATTAATAATTAATGAGAAATAAAGACAATTATACCATACTTCAAGAACTCTTATAAGAGAACTAATCTACCATCTCCAAATGTTGTCGAACTGTGTCTCCTTAAGTTACTCCTTAAGATTTCTTTGTTTCTTGACTCTCTTCTTTTCTTAGCTATTCTACAAACTCTCCCTGCTTTTGGTTATGTGTTCATTAGCTTCAATTCTTTAGAACATATGCGCTTATGAACAAATATGAGCCCCACTTTTACTTTTCTGTTCTTGAACTCTCCACTGAATGTTGCCAATAGATTATCCTCTCTGCTAATTATATTTAAAAAAGAATTTCTGCATTTATCCCAAACACAGGCCTTCTACAGCCATCCTCTATGTCCTTTATTTCAAGGCAATAAGATGGTTTAGTCTTTATTTTCTCTTAACAGGTTCCTTATGGCGTTCTGTCACATAATCTCTCTGCCTCCAGTCTCTCCCACCTTTATATTAATATTTAAAACAAATGTTTTATAAAGTCACTACACTGTTGCTAAAATATGACCGATATTATTTGTCTCTGGAACATATTCCAAATTTCATAACATTGAAGACCCCCATTCTCTCTTTCCAAATCTCTTTTTCTAAATGCCAAACAACCCTAATGTCTTTCTGTTTCCAGAATATGAACTGTACTTTCCAATACCAGCTGTGACTATAGATATTAGGCCACATCTGAAAATCCTCTTCAACTTTGTCCCCTTGGAAAAGTTTTCTGTTATTTTAAAACCAGGCTCAGAGAGCATCTTCTTTGAAGGCTGACCCAGATTTAAGCAGTAACTCCTCTAAATAACAATATATTTGCCTATAATTCTTCTAATTCTATCATCAATTTATCAAATGACCACTATACTCACATATGATTGCACTTTACTGAAGTTCATCAAACGCTGAGAATGCTGATCCACATGGTTCAGACACATAGCTACTCAATAAGTGTTATGGAGATTGTAATTGTGATCTTCTAACCGATAAAAAGATTATAATTTCCTGGAAGAGAGTAATTTCTAAAGTAAGGAATAATATGTACTTGTCCAACTTTTTATGAGCCTATAAATTTCTTGATTGTGGGATTCTTCCTATTCTTTCTACTCACACTCTGTATGACTCCAATTCATTAGGCAAAAAAATAAATAAAAACAAAAATACACAATCTAATTACATGTCTCTATGACAGAAAGAAAAACAAAAAAGTGGATTGAGCACCATTGCAATGCTATGCACATAGCAGCTGCTCTGCACATGTTGATTACACAGATTTCTAATATAACTATTTAATATAACTATATTGGAAAGAGTATTTGTATAAAGTAGAATGCCAGACTCCAATACAGCTAAGGGTTTTTAGGAAAACTGGATGATATGGTAAGAGTTCAGGCACTGGAGTCAGATAGAACAACTTATGTCTAACTTTTCAAAATTCCTGTACCTCATATGGCTATTATAAAGATTAATGAAATAATGCATGCAGAAAAGTTGGCATGTACTTCCCTATTTGGATTGTTACTATGATTATAATTGCATTATTTAAAAACTGGAGAAAACAGAGAGAATCAGACAGACTTAAATTTAATTGTTTGCCAGCTATGTGACCTAGGATATTAACTTCATTGAATCTCCTTTAAATCTCCTTTAAAAAATTGCATCTACAATTCATATTAGATACAACTTTATAGTTTTAAAATGATATAGACATATATTAATCTATTCTCACATTGCAATTAAGAAGTACCAGAGACTGAGTAATTCATAAAAAAAAAAGGTTAATTGGCTCATGGTTTCACAGGCTATACAGGAAGCATAATGCTGGCATCTGCTCGGCTACTGGGGAGGCCTCAGGAAACATACAATCATGGCTGAAAGCAAAGTGGGAGAAGGCATGTCTTACATGGCAGGAGCGGGAGTAAGAGAGAGAGACGGGAGGTGCTATACACTTTTAAACAACCAAATCTCATGAGCACTCACTCGCTATTATGAGAACAGCACCGAGGGGATGGTGCTAACCCATTTATAAGAAACTGCCTCCACAATCCAATCATCTCCCACCAGGCCCGATCTCTAATACTGGGGATTACGATTCAACATTTGTATGAGATTTGGGTGGAGACACAGATCCAAACCATAACAGGACATTACAACTAGCATGAAAGCTGGTAGATAGCAGACACACACAAAAAACATAATAAATAAATTTAAAGATTTTTTTTTGTTTTCCTCTCATGCAAAAGGCCAATCTTCTATTTTTATTTTCATTGATTTAACTTCTTATAAACACAATAGATTCTGTCTGAATTTTATTAGAAGTTGCTTATTTCCTCATAATAGGTATATATTTCTCAGTGTTAACTCTGGCTGGAGATCCTTCAGTAGATTAGTGTTAGGGTTCTAATTTTTCTAAAATCAACAATATATAAACAGAAATGTTGATCTATGAGATACACAATTATACTACTCCAAAAAACGCTTTCAAAATATAGCTGCTTTGATTATATAATGTGTGACTCAAAAGTCCTTAAAAGTCCACAAATTTTTGTCTCCTCTTCTCAAAATTAAAAAAAAAAATTCATCCTATTAGCTCATTGCCAATACATTTCAAAAATTTTTGAATTTAAAGAGCATGAAATATTGTAAAAAGCAAAGTTCCACGTTCCAATTCTGTTCTCGGTGATTTAGATATACAACGCTGATATTTTTCACCAATTCTGAAAGAATAGACAAGTATGGAGTATTCAGAAAAGTGAAGAACAGAGAAATAGAAACTTCACTTATTTATTAAGCTTTATTAAACTTCACTAATTTTACTAATGTGTTATTGTTTTTATGATATATACATTTTTGGTTATCACATTACATCTACCAGATATAATGACACACTTATCTTTATGATTTCAAATATAACCAAGAATTCAGAGTGTCTTAACTAATAGGCTGTATGTGTCGTGTCTTCCCTCAGTGGAATCAATGTTTTGAGGGGATTAAATAGAATAATTTTAACCACTTCTGAGGGCATGTGAATATTTGATCCTTAGACCTTCTTCCTAGACAGGCTAGAGGAGACTTTTCTCGCTTTCTCTCATTGAGTTTATTTGTTAAATTTACGTCAATTGGCAGAAATGGAAAAGGACACCAAGTATTTTCTCCATCAGGACTACATTCTGCAGCATCTCTTCTCCTCAAATCTCATTTGTTACAGTTGGAAAAAAAACAATTTTGATTAATGACCTTATTTGAAGAAAAATGAGTTTGATTAATCAACTTTTTCCTGTGGAGTGTCAGCTTTGGAGCAAGGCCCCTTGATGGCAGTTTATGGGTATTTATGATCTCTAAGTACCTGCTAAACTTCTCAAATACACACTGACTATAAGTTTGCCGTGATTCATTGATTTAAGAGTGCTTTACATAGTTTTACAGAGGAACAATTTAATACAAAATGTTTTGAGGAATATTGCCTTTTTCACAAGTCATAGCTTTTATAAAGTGGAACCTCAGCCTGTTTCTCCTATGCATATTGACTATTAGTATGAATGCAACTGGATCCAGCTAAAAGGTCCTATTTAGTGTTTTATTGCAAGTTCCCCTCCTCTTACTATTTCAAGTTATTAACTTTGTGTTTAGATTTCAACTACCTGACTATGATGTATCTAGTTGTGGCCAAAACATGGTTGATTAGAAATCCTTGCTTGATCATTAAATACCTTGTATTGTTAAATGTTTCAGTCATTGCTGAAGGAGTTATATGTGTATATTGAGATAAATCTTCATTGCTCCATCAGGAAGTTTATAATTTTGACTTAGCCTTCATGTCCTGCTTGTAAGAGTTTCAAGGTCATCCAAAGGTGACATTAGTGTCTTCCCATGTCTTTCTGGGGCACAACTGTGCCTACATACCTGTCTCTCTAGACTCCCAGGTGTATGTCAGAGCTTTGCAAAGCCCTATATGAACAACTCATTTGCCATTTTTTAAAATGGTTTTTGGTCACCTCTTGTTAGTCCTAACTATTACCACAGCTACAGGCAACTGAAATATTAACGAATTGCTGCTGATTGTTTTTTGACAAACATCCAAGGAATAAGATTGAAGAAAGAATAAGGCTGTTTGGACAGAGCAAGCTCTAATTCAGAACAATGGAGTTTTCCAGGGAATTCGCATAGAAGTTAAATAAAGATAAGTCTCTGGGGATGGGACTTTTAGTTCTAAACATGCCTTGCCCACTTTTAAAAAGCATTTAAAACACTTTTAAATCTGTATGAAATCTATCCTGCCCCTCCAGTGGTTGCCAGGTTACTGGTTTCCACAGCTACTGTGGTTGCAAAGCTGTTGGTTTTCAAAGATACTGCTAATCTTCAGCGATGGGAATGGGGAAAGGGAAAATTAAAACACCACACAGTTTTCTGTTTTTACCAAGATTCAGCTGTTCTTCTTGAATAAATGCTCCTTGGATTGTTGCAAACCTTCATTCAATTTCCAAAGTACTAAGAGAGTTGATTTTGTACAATTTTTGCCATTCATCATTTGTTCTTTAGAGGAGTGAATTTTGGGGATCCTTACATTGAGGTGAAAGTAAAAAACCTAGCATCTAGGGTAAAGTAGTTCCAGAACACTTTCGGTATTCTGGAAGCGTGGGTCATGCTACTGGCCCAGATTCCACACCTGCTAAGGGTAAGCCAGATGTGGAGTAGCAAGGGGTATGTGAGCAAGTGAGCACAGGGTTTGAGGCTGCAGCTGGACCGGATGTACCACAAGCAGCTTCCACTGTGGGCACAAGCAGCTGGAGAAGGGGAACATGATGGTTCCCAAAAGCTCGAAGATGCCAGGAACCGCAGAGTCCCAAAGATGATGTTACAGTGTCACAGCCCTGTCTCAGGGAGCCCCAAGGTCTGGACTCCCAAAAGACCCATGACTCTTCTCTCCTTCTAGTCACCTGTAACATGGTAAGTGGTTTCAACCTTATTTGTTTTATAGCTCTTTCAGTCCCACCATTTAGCAGGATCCGAGTTCTTGTTCCATGACCAGGAACAATGAGGTAGATGGCAAGCTGGAGGGTAAGGAAGGCAGAGAGGAGATTCACTGAATGACAAAACAGCTCTCAGGAGACCTGAAGTGGGTAGCTTCTTTCCGCAGGCAGGTTGTCCCAACAAGTGCCCAGCTCTCAGTGCAGAGGAGACCTGAAGTTGGGTAGCTCCTTTCTGCAGGCAAGTCATCCTGATGACTGTAGAAAAGACCTGAAGTGGGTAGCTCCTATCTGCAGGCAGGTCATCCAACAAGTGTCTGAGTCTGGCTGAATCTGGGGTTTTTATGCACTCAGAAGGGAGGAAGTGCATGCTGAGTGCTCCATGGGCAGCCATGGGTGGGCCTGGAAAAAGCACCATAAGTTCTCACTCTGAGTCACAGACTCCACCCAGAACTGGCAGCCTGATCCCGAGGCTTCAGGCCATCCCTGTCTTGAAGGTGGGCTTCACTGGGGACCTGCTCCTTCCTGCCTAGGAACCTGTCTGCCTCCTGCCACCAACAACATACCATCCATGGTGCCCAGGCTGTTTGCACCAAGGGGCTCCTGCAGGACCATGCCAAGCTGCCCTCAGCAACCCTGGCCTCCCTCCCACACTTGTCAGTGTCCAAAGTCTAGAGGGGGCCAAGGTAGCAGGGGGCTGGTGTGTCAGCATTGCCCTGAGTGCACACACACCTGGCCAGGTTACAACAGTTCTGATTCAGCCACAACTTTGCTCCAAAATCAGAGTGGGCACCAAGAGCAGAGAGAAGCCAGGAAGTGGAAGCAAGCACTTCTGAGCCTAATGAGACAGGGGATTTCTGGGCCCAGAGAGCTCATGGATGGCAAGGTCCAGAGCTGTGGCTGGGTGGCTGCAGCTGCACCCAGGAGCATAGGGCTCCTACCTGCTAGTTCAGTAAGGGGTGGTTCTCCTGCCTGCTCCTAACTCCCTTTGGCTCCATGGAGCATGCAGCCCTGGCCACACCTCCCCTGCTGCAGCTAGCATCCCCACAGCAGCTGCTCTAGATAGGCCACCACCACCATCATTAGTAGTCATAAAACTTAAGGCATGATTGTGGTCGTAACAATCATCTTCTCCAACTACACATTTTACAGGTAAGAACATGATGGGTTACATGATTCTATCCAAATCACAACATAGGAAATGCCAGTGCCAAGTTATTCTTCTTCTCTATCTCTCATCCCAATTTCAAAATCAGTTTGTTAATTAGCATCTACCAAATGCTAGTCATATCTTAAATTAATCACCCTGGAATGCTTAGAAGGTAAATATGTGTCTCAGTCCATTTGTGCTGCTATGACAAAATGCCACAGACTGGATAATTTATAAATCAATAGAAATTTTTTTTTCTTCAGTTCTGGAGGTTGGGAAGTCCAAGATCAAGGCACTGGCATTTGGTGTCTGTTGAGGGACCTTTTGCTGCATCCTCACACAGCAGAAGGGACAAACACTGTGGCTGTGTCCTCACATGATGTAAGGAGGAAGGGCAAAAAGAGCCTAGGTTAGTTCCCTTCAGCCCTTTCATAAGTATGACTTCATCCAGCAGAGCAGAGCCCTCATGGCCTAATTACTTCCCATAGGGCCCCACCCCTTAATACCACCACAATGGGGATTATGTTTCAACATATAAATTTTGGGGAACACTCAGATCATAGCAATATAACTAGAAAAATGGCTTTTTTTTGCTTATAAATTTATAAAATAAAAAATAATTAGGACTCATATGCCTAAAATAGTAGAAACACATGATTAATATGTTCAAAAATGATAAATATATAAGAACTTGATTATTTATATTTGTGGTTTTCAAATGATTGGCATAATTAACATAGTCATAATGAGGCACTTATGTCAAGCTCATGAATCTGGGCTCTTAAAGAGTCCTTTCAATCTAACTCATGACAACCATCTTCGCTGAAGCACCTATAGTCTTTCCCAAATTCTTTAGCTTGAGTCATGCTTCTATAGCACGTTACTTACGGGTTTCTTGTGGTACATAGCACTTAATAATGTAAGTCATCTTCTTATCTATCTGCCTTTTTCACTAGACTGTGCTCCCCTCTGAAAACAGAGATTGTATTCTAAAGATCTAAAGAAGATACATAGCATTTATTTAACAATTGTTTATTGAATAGATGAATAAAACGATGCTTACATTTACCTTCTGCTTGCTTGGGCAAATAGAGACTTGGACGTAATCCTGTAAACTTCATCTTGGAGGTGAATGTGGGTGGATTTACATCAATGGATTGTGTCTATTGACATTTAGGGAAAAGGTTGAATTCAGCTACTTGAAGTAAAGATATAACTTAAAATAAATCCACTGGTAAATTGTGTTGTTAGATAAGCACAAGTACCAAAACTATTCCTGCTAGAGCCTAGGAATGAATAAACCTTCTCTTATATCAGGTAACTTAATTCCCACATATGCAGAGTGAGCCAGGAATAGGTGATATGGATTAAGAATGTCCTTCTTCCATGTCCTATCCTTGTCCTGCTGTGCCTTGAGAGCTCTCGGGCCATTTGCTTTTATACAAAGGATAAATAATAGGCATTCTAAGAGGATGATACGTGATATGTGGTTACCTTTGCCTATTATTTTTAAATTTGGTGTTATCAACAGTGTACACAAAGTCTTCCTTAATGGTAGAAATAAGGCCAATAGATTTCATTGTTGTAAATTATCCACTGTGGAGATATTTCTATTCATATTTATAATTTACCATAATAAAAGCAGTATATCCCCAAGAGACAAAAACAGACATAAAATATATAAAGTTAGATTTCACAGATATTGTACATACGAAGAAATGAGGAGGTTAAAAAGAAGGCATGCCTTATCAAGAATATAATTATTCACCCAATTAATGAGTGAACCCCCATTTTCAAACTTCAGGATGAGTTTTAAATATAATATTTTCATTTCTATGACAAGAATAGTCTTATAAGAAATAAAGTTTCTTGTGAAAAATCCTTGAGGACTGTACATTTATAAAGTTAAATCATATTATACTATCTACATGGTCCATCCATTATTTTAAAAAATGCCAGATCGCCCATTTTGAGCTCTAGCCTGCCTCATTAAAATTATATAGTTATGAATTATTTGATATTGCTTTGGGAGCACTTAGCATCCCATTCTTGCTATTAAATACTATCAAGTTTTTATTATTATTATTTTTATTATTAGCATCCTGTCTTCAGTCACTCACTTGTTTTTACTTTAACTTTAATGTTATCTAATAACTATAACAGTCCATGGGGGAAAATTAAGTCCCCACAATATTCTCTATTGCTATCTTTCTGCCCAGTTAGATGAAAAAAAAAAGTGTCTATTGCTTTGCACTTAGTCAAAATAACTCCACTCTTCCCATCTCAGAGGCCCTAGAATCTACCTTTCGGCAGACATGTTTCCTGAGAAATGTAAGGATACTTACACATATGTTGATGGCCAATGCTAGTGTTACAGCAGGTAGTCAGGCAGACATGAGTAGGGCAGGAGAGGGCCCTCACCCACCAGGAATGTCAGGCAACTATCAGGTGATAGGCAGTTATTTGACTGTCTCAAATAATAATTGGTTGCAGCCAGTGCCAGAGAAAGACAGTCTGTCAATAAACAGCAACACCTGAAACTAGTGATCAGCAGCTTCCCGATAAGGTCTCAGGAGTTGGGCAAGTGGGCTCAAGCATGCATATTAAGAGGCAAAATGATAGAGTTTAGCTGGTATATGATCTCCTAGGGACATTCAACTGGTAAAGGGAGAATATCTTGAGTATGTGTAAAATTTCCATAAACACGCTGCACATACTCCCCTCCCAAGTGCTGGCAGGCCACTGTGCATGCAGACAGTCCACCCTTGGGGAGAAAAAGAGGAGAAGGAACACAACACCCTGGAAGCATGCCAATGTCTAAAACCCCAAGTCAAAGGTCAAACTACACACTTGAACTCTCAAGTCACCCACTTGGCCCTATTTTAAGTGTACTTTACTTTCTTTCATGCCTGATCTGAAGCTTTTTAATAAACATTCACTTCTGCTCTGAAACTTGCCTGAGTCTCTCTTTCTGCTTTGTGCCCCTCAGTTGAGTTCTTTCTTCTAAGGAGGCAAGAATTGAGCTTGCTGCAGACCTGTATGGATTTGCTGCTGGTAACATATGTTGGTGCTGCATGACTCAGATACATCCTGCTGCCACTAGCTTGGGAAAATATAAAATCAGATTATTCTCTTTGATTTGTTATGTATGTTGTACTATGAACATGGAATTCCAATTAGAGAACGTCTATTCCTAATTTCTTTTAGTGCCTTGATTCTGTTT